>NC_000012.12:37763158-37914673 GCF_000001405.40 Homo sapiens
AACGAACAAAGCCTCCAGGAAATATGGGACTATGTGAAAAGACCAAATCTACGTCTGATTGGTATACCTGAAAGTGACGGGGAGAATGGAATCAAGTTGGAAAGCACTCTTCAGGATATTATCCAGGAGAACTTCCCCAATCTAGCAAGGCAGGCCAACATTCAGATTCAGGAAATACAGAGAATGCCACAAAGATAATCCTCGAGAAGACCAAATCCAAGACACACAATTGTCAGATTCAGCAAAGTTGAAATGAAGAAAAAAATGTTAAGGGCAGCCAGAGAGAAAGGTCGGGTTACCCACAAAGGGAAGCCCATCAGACTAACAGCAGATCTCTTGGGAGAAACTCTACAAGTCAGAAGAGAGTGGGGACCAATATTGAACATTCTTAAAGAAAAGAATTTTCAACCCAGAATTTCATATCCAGCCAAACTAAGCTTCATAAGTGAAGGAGAAATAAAATACTTTACAGGCAAGCAAATGCTGAGAGACATTGTCACCACCAGGCCTGCCCAAAAAGAGCTCCTGAAGGAAGCAGTAAACATGGAAAGGAACAACCAGTACCAGCCACTGCAAAATCATGCCAAATTGTAAAGACCATCGAAGCTAGGAAGAAACTGCACCATCTAATGAGCAAAATAACCAGCTAACATCATAATGACAGGACCAATTCACACATAAAAATATTAACTTTAAACGTAAATGGGCTAAATAGTCCAATTAAAAGACACAGACTGGCAAATTGGATAAAGAGTCAAGACCCATCAGTGTGCTGTATTCAGGAAACCCATCTCACGTGCAGAGACACATATAGGCTCAAAATAAAAGGATGGAGGAAGATCTACCAAGCAAATGGAAAACAAAAAAGGCAGGAGTTGCAATCCTAGTCTCAGATAAAACAGACTTTAAACCAACAAAGATCAAAAGAGACAAAGAAGGCCATTACATAATCGTAAAGGGATCAATTCAACAAGAAGAGCTAACTATCCCAAATATATATGCACCCAATACAGGAGCACCCAGTTTCATAAAGCAAGTCCTGAGTGACCTACAAAGAGACTTAGACTTCCCCACAATAATAATGGGAGACTTTAACACCCCACTGTCAACATTAGACAGATCAACAAGACAGAAAGTCAACAAGGATACCCAGGAATTGAACTCAGCTCTGCACCAAGCAGACCTAATAGACATCTACAGAACTCTCCACCCCAAATCAACAGAATATACATTTTTTTCAGCACCACACCACACCTATTCCAAAATTGACCACATAGTTGGAACTAAAGCTCTTCTCAGCAACAGTAAAAAATCAGAAATTATAACAAACTGTCTCTCAGACCACAGTGCAATCAAACGAAGAATCAGGATTAAGAAACTCACTCAAAACCACTCAACTACATGGAAACTGAACAACCTGATCCTGAATGACTACAGGGTACATAATGAAATGAAGGCAGCAATAAATAAAGATGTTCTTTGAAACCAAGCAGAACAAAGACACAACATACCAGAATCTCTGGGACATATTCAAAGCAGTGTGTAGAGGGAAATTCATAGCACTAAATGCTCTCAAGAGAAAGCAGGAAAGATCGAAAATAGGCACCCAAACATAACAATTAAAAGAACTAGAAAAACAAGAGCAAATACATTCGAAAGCTAGCAGAAGGCAAGAAATAACTAAAATCAGAGCAGAACTGAAGGAAGTAGAGACACAAAAAACCCTTCAAAAAATTAATAAATCCAGGAGCTGGTTTTTTGAAAGGATCAACAAAATTGATAGACTGCTAGCAAGATTAATAAAGAATAAAAGAAAAAAGAATCAAATAGATGCAATAAAAAATGATAAAGGGGATATCACCACTGATCCCACAGAAATACAAACTACCAGCAGAGTATACTACAAACACCTCTACGCAAATAAACTAGAAAATCTAGAAGAAATGGATGAATTCCTTGACACATACACTCTCCCAAGGCTAAACTAGGAAGACGTTGAATCTCTGAATAGACCAATAACAGGCTCTGAAATCATGGCAATAATCAATAGCTTACCAACAAAAAAGAGTCCAGGACCAGATGGATTCACAGCCGAATTCTACCAGAAGTACAAGGAGTAACTGGTACCATTCCTTCTGAAAATATTCCAATCAATACAAAAAGAGGGAATCTTCCTTAACTCATTTTATGAGGCCAGCATCATCCTGATACCAAAGCCAGGCACAAACCCACCCAAAAATAGAATTTTAGACCAATATCCTTGATGAACACTGATGCAAAAATCCTCAATAAAATACTGGCAAACTGAATCCAACAGCACATCAAAAAGCTTATCCATCATCATCAAGTGGGCTTCATCCCTGGGATGCAAGTCTGACTCAATATACGCAAATCAAAAAATGTAATCCAGCATATAAACAGAACCAAAGACAAAAACCACATGATTATCTCAATAGATGCAGAAAAGTCCTTTGAAAAAATTCAACAACCTTCATGCTAAAAACTCTCAATAAATTGATGGGACGTATTTCAAAAAAAAAAAAAACAACAGCTATCTATGACAAACCCACAGTCAATATCATACTGAATGGGCAAAAACTGGAAGCCTTCTCTTTGAAAACTGGCACAAGACAGATGCCCTCTCTCACCACTCCTATTCAACAAAGTGTTGGAAGTTCTGACCAGGGCAATTAGGCAGGAGGAGGAAATAAAGGATATTCAATTAGGAAAAGAGGAAGTCAAATTGTCCCTGTTTGCAGATGACATGATTTTATATCTAGAAAACCCCATTGTGTCAGCCCAAAATCTTCTTAAGCTGATAAGTAAGCAACTTCAGCAAAGTCTCAGGATACAAAATCAATGTACAAAAATCACAAACATTCTTATACACCAATAACAGGCAAACAGAGAACCAAATCATGAGTGAACTCCCATTCACAATTGCTTCAAAGATAATAAAATACTAAGAATCCAGCTTACAAGTGACGTGAAGGACCTCTTCAAGGAGAACTACAAACCACTGCTCAATGAAATAAAAGAGGATACAAACAAATGGAAGAATATTCCATGCTCATGGGTAGGAAGAATCAATATCGTGAAAATGGCCATGCTGCCCAAGGTAATTTATAGATTCAATGACATCCCCATCAAGCTACCAATGCCTTTCTTCACACAATTGGAAAAAAACTACTTTAAAGTTCATATGGAACCAAAAAAGAGCACGTATCTCCAAGCCAGTTCTAAGCCAAAAGCTTTCATGTGTAGAAAGCTGAAACTGGATCCCTTCCTTACACCTTATACAAAAAGTAATTCAAGATGGATTAAAGACTTAAACGTTAGACCTAAAACCATAAAAACTGTAGAAGAAAACCTAGACTTTACCATTCAGGACATAGGCATGGGCAAGGACTTCATGTCTAAAACACCAAAAGCAATGGCAACAAAAGCCAAAATTGACAAATGGGATCTAATTACACTAAAGAGCTTCTGCACAGCAAAATAAACTATCATCAGAGTGAACAGGCAACCTACAAAATGGGAGAAAATTTTCGCAACCTACTCATCTGACAAAGGGCTAATATCCAGAATCTACAATGAACTCAAACAAATTTACAAGAAAAAAAAAAAGCAACCCCATCAAAAACTGGGTGAAGGACATGAACAGACACTTCTCAAAAGAAGACATTTATGCAGCCAAAAAACACATGAAAAAATGCTCACCATCACTGTCCATCAGAGAAATGCAAATCAAAACCACAATGAGATACCATCTCACACCAGTTAGAATGGCAATCATTAAAAAGTCAGGAAGCACCAGGTGCGGGAGAGGATGTGGAGAAATAGGTGGGACTGTAAACTAGTTCAACCATTGTGGAAGTCAGTGTGGGGATTCCTCAGGGATCTAGAACTAGAAATACCATTTGACCCAGCCATCCCATTGCTAGGTATATACCCAAAGGACTATAAATCATGCTGCTATAAAGACACATGCACACATATGTTTACTACAGCACTATTCACAATAGCAAAGACTTGGAACCAACCCAAATGTCCAACAATGATAGACTGGATTAAGAAAACGTGGCACATATACACCATGGAATACTATGCAGCCATAAAAGATGATGAGTTCATGTCCTTTGTAGGGACATGGATGAAATTGGAAATCATCATTCTCAGTATACTATCTCAAGAACAAAAAACCAAACACTGCATATTCTCACTCATAGGTTGGAATGGAACAATGAGAACACATGGACACAGGAAGGGAAACATCACACTCTGGGGACTGTTGTGGGTTGGGGGGAGGGGGGAGAGATAGCATTAGGAGATATACCTAATGCTAAATAACGAGTTAATGGGTGCAGCACACCAGCATGGCACATGTATACATATGTAACTAACCTGCACATTGTGCACATGTACCCTAAAACTTAAAGTATAATAATAATAAAATAAAAACATAAAAAGAAAAAGAAACCTCTTTGTGACGTGTACATTCATCTCACAAAGTTGAACCTTTCTTTTTATTTAGCACGTTGGAAACAGTCTGTTTCTAGAATCTGCAAAGGGATATTTGGAGCAATATGAGGCCTACTGTGAACAAGGAAATATCTTCACATGAAAACTAGACCAAAGTTTTCTGAGAAACTTCTTTGTGTTGAGTGCATTCGCCTGGCAGATTTGAACTTTTCTTTTGATTAAGCCATTTCAAAACCATCTTTTCTTAGACCCTGCAAAGAGATATTTGTGAGCCCAATAAGGCCTGCGGTGAAAAAGGATATATCTTCACATAAAAACTAAATAGAAGCTTCCTGAGAAACTTCTTTGTGTTGGGCGCTTTCATCTCACAGAGTTGAATCTTTCTTCTTATTGAGGAATTTGGAAAAAGTCTTTTTGTAGAATCTTCAAGTGTATAATTTGGAGCGCTTTGAAGCCTTTGGTGAAAAAGGAAATATCTTCACATAAAAACTAGACAGAAGCATTCTGAGAAATTTCTTTGTGATGTGTGAATTCATCTCATAGAGTTGTACCTTTCCTTTGATTGAGCAGTTTTGATACAGTCTTTTTGTAGAATCTGCAAAGGGATATTTGTGAGCTGTTTTAGGCCTATAAAGAAAAAGAGAATATCTTCACATAAAAACTAGACAGAAGGTTTCTGAGAAACTTCTTTGTGTTGTGTGCATTCGTCTCACAGATTTGAACTTGTTTTTTGATTGAGCTGTTTGGAAACTGTTTCTGTAGAATCTGAAGTGGAATACTTAGAATGCTTTGAGGCATATAGTGAAAAAGGAAATATCTTCACATATAAATTAGACATAAGTATTCTGTGTAACTTCTTTCTGATGCATGCATTCATCTCACAGAGTTGAAACTTTCTTTTGATTGAGCAGTTTGGAAACAGTCGTTTTGTAGAATCTGCTCACAGATATTTGTGAGCACGTTGAGTCCTACGGAGAAAAGGGAAATATCTTAACATGAAAACTAGACAGAAGCATTCTGAGCAACTTCTATGTGTTGTGCGCATTTATCTCACAGAGTTGAAACTTTCTTTTAATTGAGCACTTTGAAAAGAGTCTGTTTGTAGAATCTTCAAAGGGATATTTCGAGCACTTTGAGGCCACTTGTGAAAAAGGAAATCTCTTCACATAAAAACTAGACCAAAGCTTTCTGAGAAACTTCATTGTGACATGTGCATTCCTCTCCCAGAGTTAAAACTTTCTTTTGGTTAAGCCGTTTGGAAACAGTCTTTATGTAGTACCTGCAAAGGGGTATTTTTGAGCCCTTTGAGGTAAATGGTGAAAAAGGAAATATCTTCACATAAAAACTAGACAGAAGCCTTCTTAGAAACTTCTTTGTGATGTGTGCTTTCATCTCACAGAGTTGAACATTTCTTTTAATAGAGCAGTTTGGAAACAGTCTTTTTGCAGAATCTGCAAGTGGATATTTGGAACACTCTGAGGCCCATGGTAAAAAACGAAATATCTTCACATAAAAGCTACACAGAAGGATTCTGAGAAACTTCTTTGTGATGTGTGCATTCATCTCAAAGAGCTGAAACTTTCTCTTGATTGAGCAGTTTCGAAGCAGTCTTTTTGTAGCATCTGCAAACAGATATTCATGAGTGCTTTGAGGCCTATGGTGAAAAAGGAAATATCTTTATACAAAAACTAGACAAAAGCTTCTGAGAAACTCCTTTGTGATATGTGGATTCATCTCACAAAGTTAAACCTCTCTTTTGATGGAGCAGGTTGGAAAGAGTCTTTTTGTATGATCTGTAAGTGGATAGTTGGATTTCATTGAGGCCTATGGTGAAAAAGGAAATATCTTCACATAAAAACTAGACAGAAGCATTCTCAGAAACTTCTTTGTGATATATTCATTCGACTCTCAGAGTTGAACCTTTCTTTTGGTTGAGCAGTTTGGAAGCATTCGTTTTTGGAATCTGCAAAGCGATGTTTTGGAGCCCTTTGAGGCCTATAGTTGAAAAGGAACTATCTTCACATGAAAACTAGACAGAAGCATTCTGAGAAACTTCTTTCTGATGTGTGCTTTCATCTGACAGAGTTGAACATTTCTTTTGATTGAGCATTTTGGAAAGAGTCTCTTAGTAGAATCTAAAAAGGGATATTTGGAGTGCTTTCAGGAGTATGGTGAAAAAGGAAATATCTTCACCTAAAAACTAGATAGAAATTTTCTGAGAAACTTCTTTGGGACGTGTGCATTCATCTCACAGAGTTGAACTTTTCTTTTGTTTGAGAGGTTTGGAATCATTCTTTTGTGGAATCTAAAAAGGGATATTTAGAGTTTTTTGAGGCGTACATTGAAAAAGGAGATATCTTCACATAAGAATTAGACAGAAGCATTCTGAGCAACTTCTTTGAGATATGTGCACTCATCTCACAGAGGTGAATATTTCTTTTGATTGAGCAGTTTGGAAGCAGTCTTTTTGTAGATCTACTAAAGGATATTTCTGAGCCTCTTGAGGCCTATGGTGAAAAAGGAAATATCTTCACATGAAAATTACAGAGAAGCTTTCTGAGAAACTTCTTTGTGATATGTGCTTTCATCTAACAGATTTGAATCATTTCTTGGGATGAGCGATTTGGAAACAGACTTTTTGTAGAATCTGCAAAAGGATATTTGTGAGCGTTTTGAGGTATATGATGAAAAAGGAAATATCTTCACATAAGAACTAGATAGAAACTTTCTCACAAACTTCTTTGTGATGGGTGCATACATCTCAAAGAGACAAATGTTTCTTTTTATTGAGCAGTTTGGAAACAGTCTTTTTGCAGAATCTGAAAAGGG
Source organism: Homo sapiens (assembly GCF_000001405.40). NCBI lineage: Eukaryota > Metazoa > Chordata > Mammalia > Primates > Hominidae > Homo > Homo sapiens. The sequence goes on from NC_000012.12 coordinate 37,770,470, forward strand.
ATATTTGGATCACTTTGTCACATGGTGAAAAAGGAAATATCTTCACACAAAAACTAGACAGAAGATTTCTGAGAAACTTCTCTGTGACGTGCGCATTCATCTCACAGAGTTGAACCTTTCTTTCGATTGAGCACTTTGGAAACAGTCTGTTCATAGAATCTGCAAAGGGATATTTGGAGAACTTTGAGCCCTATGGTGAAATAGGAAGTATCTTAACATAAAAACTAGACCAAAGTTTTCTGAGAAACTTCTTTCTGATGAGTGTATTCATCTCACAGAGTTGAACCTTTCTTTTGATTGAGCAGTTTAGAAACAGTCTTTTTGTAGAATCTGCAAAAGGATATTTGTGAGCTGTTTGAAGCCTATGGCGGAAAAGGAAACATCTTTGGATAAAAACAAGAAAGAAGTTTTTTGACAAACTTCTTTGTGATGTGTGCATTTATTGCACAGATGTGAACGTTTCTTTTGATTGAGCAGTTTGGAAATGGTCTTTTTGTAGAATCTGAAAAGGGATACTTGGAGCGCTTTCAGGCGTATGGTGAAAAAGGAAATATCTTCACATAAAAACTAGAAAGAATCTTTCTGAGAAACTTCTTTCTGACGGTTGCATTCATATCACAGAGTTGAAATTTTCTGTTGTTTGAACAGTTTGGAAATCCTCTTTTTGTATTATCTGGAAACAGATATTTGTGAACACTATGAGGCCTATGGTGAAAATGGAAATATTTTCACATAAAAACTAGAAAGAAGCATTTTGTACCACTTCTTTGTGATGCTTGCATTAAACTCACACAGGTGTAGCTTTCTTTTGATTAAGCACTTTGGAAACAGTCCATTTTTAGAATGCGCCAAGGGATATTTGGAGTACTTTGAGGACTGTGGTGAAAAAGGAAATATCTTCAAATAAAAACCAGATCAAAGCTTTCTGAGAAACTTCTTTGTGATGAATGCATTCATCTCACAGAGCTGAACTTTCTTTTGATTGAGGCGTTTGGAAACAGACTTTTTGTAGAATCTCCAAAGGGATATTTGTGAGCCCTTTGAGGACTATGGCAAAAAAGGAAATATATTCCCATGAAAACTAGATAGAAGCTTTCTGAGAACCGGTTGTGTGGTGTGTTCTTTCATCTCACAGAGTTGAACCTTTTGTTTGATTGAGCAGTTTGGAAACAGTCTTTTGTATAATCTGCAAGTGGATGTTTGGAGTGCTTTGAGGCCTATGGTGTAAAAGAAAATATCTTCACACAAAAATTAGACAGAAGCATTCTGAGAAACTTCTTAGTGATGTGTGCATACATCTCATACAGTTGAAACTTTCTTTTTATTGAGCAGTTTGTAAACAGTCTTTTTGTAGAATCTGCAAAGGGATAATTTTGAGCCCTCTGAGGTCTATGGTAAAAAAGGAAATATCTTCACATAAAAACTGGACAGAAGCTTTCTAAGAAACTTATTTGTGAAGTATGCTTTCATCTAACAGAGTTGAACCATTCTTTCAATTGATCAGTTTGGAAACAGTCTCTTTATAGAATCTACAAAGGGATATTTGGAGCAATTTGGGGACTCCGGTGAAAAAGGAAATATCTTCACCTAAAAACTAGACAGAAGCTTTCTGAGAAACTCCTTTGTGATGTGTGCACTCATCTCACAGAGTTGAATGTTTCTTTTGATTGTGCAGTTTGGAAACAGTCTTTTTGTCAAATCTGAAAAGGGATATTTGGAATGCTTTGAAGCGTATGGTGAAAAAGGAAATATCTTCACATAAAAACTACAAAGAAGCTTTCTGAGAAAGTTCTTTGTGGTTTCTGCTTTCATCTCACAGAGTTGAACCATTCTTTTGATAGATCAGATTGGAAAGTGTCTTTTTGTAGAATGTCCAAAGGGATAGTTGGAGCACCTTGTGTCCTATGGAGAAAAAGGCAATATCTTCACATAAAAACTAGAGATAAGCTTTGTGAGAAACTTCTTTATGATGTGTGCATTCATCTCACAGATTTAAATCTTTGTTCTGATTGGGCAGGTTGGAAACAGTATTTTTGCAGAATCTGCAAAAGGATATTTGTGAGTTGTTTGAAGCCTATGGTGAAAAAGGAAATATCTTCACATAAAAACCAGACAGAAGCTTTCGGACAAACTACTTTGTGATCTGTGCGTTCACCTCATAGAGTGGAACGTTTCTTTTCAATGAGCAGTTTGGAAACAATCTTTTTGTAGAATCTGAAAAGGGGTATTTGGATTGTTTTGAGGTGTATGGTGAAAAAGAAAATATCTTCACATAAGAACTAGATAGAAGCATTCTGAGCAACTTATCTGTGATGTGTGCATTCATCTCTCAGAGGTGAAACTTTCTTTTGATTGAGGAGTTTGGAAACCATCTTATTGTAGAATCTGTAAAGGGATATTGGAAGCAATTTGAGGCCTAAGATGAAAAAGGACATATCTTCACATAAAAACTAGAGAGAAGCATTCTGAGAAACTTCTTTGTGATGTGTGCATTCATCTCACAGAGGTGAACCTTTCTTTTGACTGTGCAGTTTGGAAACAGTCTTTTTGTAGAATCTCAAATGGGATATTTGGAACATCTGCAGCGTATGGTGAAAAAGGAAATATCTACACATAAAAGCAAAACAGAATCTTTTTTAGACACTTCTTTGTGACGTGTGCATTTATCTCACAGAGTTGAAACTTTCCTTTGATTGAGCAGTTTGGAAACAGTCTTTTTGTAGAATCTGCAAACAGATATTTGTGAGAACATTGAGGCCTAGAGTGAAAAAGGAAATATCTTCACATAAAAACTAGACAGAAGCATTCTGAGCAACTACTTTGTGATATGTGCATTCATCTCAGAGAGTTGAAATTGACTTTTGATTGAGCACTTTGGACACAGTCTGTTTGTAGAATCTGCAAAGGGATATTTGGAGCCCTTTGAGCCCTGTGGTGAAAAAGGAAACATCTTCAAATAAAAACGACACCAAGTCTTTCTGAGAAACTTCTTGGTGATGAGTGCATTCATCTCACAGTGTTGAATTTTCCTTTGACTAGGCGGTTTTGAAACAGTCTCTTTGTAGGATCTGCAAAGGGATGTTGGTGAGCCGTTTGAGACCTATGGTGAAAAAGGAAATACCTTCACATAAAAACTAGACAGAAGCTTTCTGAGAAACTTCTTTGTGATGTGTGCTTTCATCTCACAGAGTTGAACCTTTCTTTTGATTGAGCAGTTTGGGAAAAGTTTTTTGTATAATCTGTAAAGGGATATTTGGAGCAATTTGAGGCATATGGAGAAAAAGGAAATATCTTCACATAAAAACTAGACAGAAGCATTCTGAGAAACTACTTGTGATGTGTGCATTCATCTCACAGAGTTGAAACTTTCTTTTAATTGAGCTGTTTGGAAAGAGACTTTTTTTATAATCTGCAAAAGGGTATTTGTGAGGTCTTTGGGGCCTATGGTGAAAAAGGAAATAACTTCACATAAAAACTACACAGAAGCTTTCTGAGAAAGATCTTTGTGATGTGTGCTTTCATCTCATAGAGTTGAAGCAAACTTTTGATAGATCAATTTGGAAAGAGTCTTTTTGTAGAATCTGCAAAGGGATATTTGGAACACATTGGGGCCTGTGGAGAAAAAGGTAATATCTTCACATAAAAACTAGAGACATGCTTTTTGAGAAAATTCTTTTTGATGTGTGCATTCATCTCACAGATTCGAATCTTTCTTTTGATTGAGCAGTTTGGAAACAGTGTTTTTGTAGAATCTGTAAACAGATAGTTGTGAATGCTTTGAGGCCTGTGGTGAAAAAGGAAATATCTTCACCTAAAAACTAGACAGAAGCCTTCTGAGCAACTACTTAGTGAAGTGTGCATTCATCTCACAGAGTTGAACATTTCTTTTGATTGGGCACTTTGGAAACAGTCTGTTTGTAGAATCTGCAATGGTATATTAGGAGGATTTTGAGGCCTATGGTGAAAAAGGAACTATCTTCTCATAAACACTAGACCAAAGCTTTCTGAGAAACTTCTTTGTGATGAGTGCATTCATCTCACAGAGTTGAACCTTCCTTTTGATTAAGCCGTTTGGAAACAGGCTATTTTTAGAATGTACAGAGAGATATTCGTGAGCCCTTTGAGGCCTATGGTGAAATATTAAATACCTTCACATAAAAATTAGACAGAAGAATTCTGAAAAACTTCTTTGTGATGGGTGCTTTCATCTCACAGAGTTGAAATATTCTGTCAATTGATCAGTTTGGAAACACCCTTTTTGTAGAATTTGCAAAGGGATATTTGGAGCACTTTGAGTCTTATGGTGAAAAAGGAAATATCTTCACATAAAATATTGACAGAAGCTTTCTGAGAAACTTTGTGATGGGTGCATTCATCTCACAAAGTTGAACCTTTCTTTTGATTGAGCAGTTTGGAAACAGTCTTTTTGTAGAATCTGCAAACAGATATTTGTGAGCACTTTGAGGCCCAAGGTGAAAAAGGAAATATCTTCACATAGAAACCAGACAGAAGCATTCTGAGCAAATTCTTTGTGATGTGTGCATTCATCTCACAGGGCTGAACCTTTCTTTTGATTGAGCAGTTTGGAAACAGTCTTCTTGTAGAATCTGCCAAGGATTATTTGGAGCGCTTTGAGGCCTATGGTAAAAAAGGAAATATCTTAACATAAAAACTAGACAGAAGCTATCTGAAAAATATCTTTCCATGTGTGCATTCATCTCACAGATTTGAAACTGTCTTTTGATTTATCAGCTTGGAAACAGTCTTTTTGGAGAATCTGCCAAGGTATATTTAGAGCACTTTGACCCCGGCAGTCAAAAAGGAAATATCTTAACATAAAAACTAGACAGAAGTTTTGTGGGAAACTTCTTTGTGATGTGTGCATTCTCTCACAGAGTTGAAACTTTCTTTTCATTGAGCAGTTTGGAAACAGTCTTTTTGTAGAATCTGCATAAGTATATTTGTTAGCCCTTTGAGGCCTATGGTGAAAAAGGAAATACCTTCACATAAAAACTACTCAGAAGATTTCTGAGAAAATTCTTTGTGATGTGTGATTTCATCTCACAGAGTTGAAACATTCTTTTGATAGATCAGTTTGGAAAGAGTCTTTTTGTAGAATCTGCAAAGGGATATCTGGGGCACTTTGAGGCCTATGGTGAAAAGGTAAGTATCTTCACATAAAAACTAGCCAGAAGCATTCTGACCAACTGCTTTGTGATGTGTGAAATATCTCACAGAGATGAATCTTACTTTACATGGAGCACTTTGGAAACAGTCTTTTTGTAGAATCAGCAAAGGGATATTTGTAGCAATTACAGGCCTATGGTGAAAAAGGATATATCTTCACATAAAAACTAAATCAAAGCCTTCTGAGAAACTTCTTTGGGATGAGTGCATTCATCTCACAGCTTTCAATATTTGCTTTGACTAAGCTGCTTGGAAAAAGTCTTTTGAAGAAACTGCAAACAGGTATTTTTTAACCATTTGAGGCTTATGGTGAAAAAGGCAATATTTTAACATAAAAACTAGAGAGTAGCTTTCTGGGAAATTTCTTTTTGATGTGTGCATTCTCTCACAGAATTTAAACCTTCTTTTCATTGAGCAGTTTCTAAACAGTCTTTTTTTAGAATCTGCAAAGGGATATTTGTGAGAGGTTTGAGGACTATTGTGTGAAAGGAAATACCCTCACATAAGAACTAGACAGAAGCATTCTGAGAAACTTCTTTGTGATATGTGCATTCATCTCACAGAGTTGAATCTTGCTTTTGATTTAGAAGTTTGGAAACAGTCTTTTTGTAGAATCTGCAAAGAGATATTTCTGAGCCCTTTGAGGCCTATGGTGAGAAAGGAAATATCATCGCATAAAAACTAGACAGAAGCTTTCTCAGAAACTTATTCATGATGTGTGCTTTCAACTCACAGATATGAACCTTTCTTTTGAGTGAGCAGTTTGGAAACAGTCTTTTTGTAGAGTCTGCAAATGGACATTTGGAGCACTTTGAGACCTATTGTGAAAAACGAAATACCTTCACATAAAAACTAGACAGAAGTTTTCTGCAAATCTTCTTTGTGATGGGTGCATTCTCTCATGCAGTTGAAACTTCCTTTTGATGGAGCAGATTGGAAACAGCCTTTTTGCAGATTCTGCATAGGGATATTTATGAGTCCTTTGAGGCCTGCAGAGAAAAAGGAAATATCTCCACATAAAAACTACACAGAAGATTTCTAAGAAAGTTCTTCGTGATGTGTGATTTCATCTCACAGAGTTGAACCATTCGTTTGATAGATCAGTTTGGAAAGAGTTTTTTTTGTAGAATCTGCAAAGGGATATTTGGAGCACTTTGAGGCCCATGGTGAAAAAGGAAATATCTTCACATAAAAACTAGACAGAAGCCTTCTGAGAAATTTCCTTGTGATGTGTGCAATCATCTCACAGATTTGAAATTTTCTTTTGATTGAGCAGTTTGGAAACAGTCTTTTTGTAGAATCTGAAAAGGGATATTTTGCACACTTTGTGGCGTACAGTGAAAAAGGAAATATCTTCACATAAAAACTAGACAATAGCTTTCTGAGAAACTTCTTTGCGACGTGTGCATTCAACTCACAGAGTTCAAACTTTCTTTTGATTCAGCACTTTCGAAACAGTCTATTAGTAGAACCTGCAAAGGGATATTTGTGAGAAGTTTGAGGCCTATGGTGAGAAAGGAAATACCTTCCACATTATAACCAGACAGAAGCTTTCTTTATTATTATTATTATTATTATTATTATTATTATTTTTATTATTACCGTTTAAGTTTTAGGGTACATGTGCACAATGTGCAGGTTAGTTACATATGTATACATGTACCATGCTGGTGCGCTGCACCCACCAACTCGTCACCTAGCACTAGGTATTTCTCCCAGTGTTATCCCGCCGCCCTCCCCCCACCCCACAACAGTCCCCAGAGTGTGATGTTCCTCTTCCTGTGTCTATGTGTTCTCATTGTTCAATTCCCATCTATGAGTGAGAATATGCGGTGTTTGGTTTTTTGTTCTTGCGATAGTTTGCTGAGAATGAGGGTTTCCAATTTCATCCATTTCCTTACAAAGGACATGAACTCACCATTTTTTATGGCTGCATAGTATTCCATGGTGTATATGTGCCACATTTTCTTAATCCAGTATATCATTGTTGAATATTTGGGTTGGTTCCAAGTCTTTGCTATTGTGAATAATGCCGCAATAAACATACATGTGCATGTGTCTTTATAGCAGCATGATTTATAGTCCTTTGGGTATATACCCAGTAATGGGATGGCTGGGTCAAATGGTATTTCTAGTTCTAGATCCCTGAAGAATCACCACACTGACTTCCACAAGGGTTGAACTAGTTTACTGTCTCACCAACAGTGTAAAAGTGTTCCTATTTCTCCACATCCTCTCCAGCACCTGTTGTTTCCTGACTTTTTAATGATTGCCATTCTAACTGGTGTGAGATGATATTTCATTGTGGTTTTGATTTGAATTTCTCTGATGGCCAGTGATGGTGAGCATTTTTCATGTGTTTTTTGGCTGCATAAATGTCTTCTTTTGAGAAGTGTCTGTTCATGTCCTTCACCCACTTTTTGATGGGGTTGTTTTTTTCTTGTAAATTTGTTTGAGTTCACTGTAGATTCTGGATATTAGCCCTTTGTCAGATTAGTAGGTTGTGAAAATTTTCTCCCATTTTGTAGGTTGCCTGTTCACTCTGATGGTAGTTTCTTTTGCTGTGCAGGAGCTCTTTAGTTTAATTAGATCCCATTTGTCAATTTTGGCTTTTGTTGCCTTGCTTTTGGTGTTTTAGACATGAAGTCCTTGCCCATGCCTATGTCCTGAATGGCAAAGCCTAGGTTTTCTTCTAGGGTTTTTATGGTTTTAGGTCTAACGTTTAAGTCTTTAATCCATCTTGAATTGATTTTTGTATAAGGTGTAAGGAAGGAATCCAGTTTCAGTTTTCTACATATGGCTAGCCAGTTTTCCCAGCACCAATTATTAAATAGGGAATCCTTTCCCCATTGCTTGTTTTTCTCAGGATTGTCAAAGATCAGTTAGTTGTAGATATGTGGCATTATTTCTGATGGCTCTGTTCTGTTCCATTGATCTCAATTAGGCAGGAGAAGCAAATAAAGGGTATTCAATTAGGAAAAGAGGAAGTCAAATTGTCCCTGTTTGCAGATGACATGATTGTATATCTAGAAAACCCCATTGTCTCAGCCCAAAATCTCCTTAAGCTGATAAGCAACTTCAGTAAAGTCTCAGGATACAAAATCAATGTGCAAAAATCACAAGCCTTCTTATACACAAACAACAGACAAACAGAGAGCCAAATCATGAGTAAACTCCCATTCACAAGTGCTTCAAAGAGAATAAAATACCTAGGAATCCAACTTACAAAGGATGTGAATGACCTCTTCAAGGACAACTACAAACCACTGCTCAAGGAAATAAAAGAGGGTACAAACAAATAGAAACACATTCCATGCTCATGGGTAGGAAGAATCAATATTGTGAAAATGGCCATACAGCCCAATGTAATTTATAGATTCAATGCCAACCCCATCGAGCTACCAATGACCTTCTTCACAGAATTGGAAAAAACTACTTTAAAGTTCATATGGAACCAAAAAAGAGCCCTCATCCCCAAGTCAATCCTAAGCCAAAAGAACAAAGCTGGAGGCATCACACTACCTGACTTCAAACTATACTACAAGGCTACAGTAACCAAAACAGCAAGGTAACGGTAGACAGAAGCTTTCTGAGAAACTTCTCTGTGATGGGTACTTTCAACTCAGAGATTTGAAGCTTTTTTTGATTCAGCAACTTGGAAACAGTCTTTTTGTTGAATCTACAAAAGGATATTTGTGAGCACTTTGAGGCCTAGGCTTAAAAAGGAAATATCTTAACATAAAAACTAGACAGAAGGTTTCTGAGAAACTTATTTCTGATGTGTGCTTTCACCTCATGGAGTTGAACCTTTCTTTTGATGGAGCATTTTGGAAACAGTTTTTTGTAGAATCTCGCAGTGGATATTTGGAGCGCTTTGGGTCCTATGGTGAAAAAGGAAATATCTTCACATAAGAACTAGAAAGAAACTTTTTGAGAAACTTCTTTGTGATTTGTGCATTCATCTCACAGAGGTGAACCTTTCTTTTGATTGAGCAGTTTGGAAACAGTCTTCTTGTAAAATCTGCCCAGGGATATTTGTGAGCCCTTTGAGGCCTATGGTGAAAAAGCAGGTATCTTCACATTAAAAATAGACAGAAGCTTTCTGAGAAACTTCTTTGTCATGTGTGTATTCATCTCACAGGGCTGAACCTTTCTTTTGATTGAGCAGTTTGGAAACAGTCTTTTTGTAGAATCTGCCAAGGAATATTTGGAGCGCTTTGAGGCCTACGGTGAAAAAGGAAATATTTTGACATAAAAACTTGACAGAAACTATCTGAAAGATGTTTGTGATATGTACATTCATGTCACAGAGTTGAAACTGTCTTTTGATTGAACAGTTTGGAATCAGTCTTTTTGTAGAATCTGTCAAGTGATATTTTGAGCGCTTTGACTACTGTAGTGAAAAAGGAAATGTCTTAACAGAAAAACTAGACAGAAACTTTTGGGGAAACTTCTTTGTGATGTGTGCATTCTCTCACATCACAGGGTTGAAACTTTCTTTTGATTGAGCAGTTTGGAGACAGTCTTTTTGTAGAATCTGCAAAAGTATATATGTTAAACCTTTGAGGCCTATGGTGAAAAAGGAAATATCTTCACAGAAAAACTACACAGAAGCTTTCTGAGAAAATTCTTTGTGATGTGTGATTTCATCTCACAGAGTTGAAACATTCTTTTGATAGATCAGTTTGGAAAGAGTCTTTTTGTAGAATCTGCAAAGGGATATCTGGAGCACTTAGAGGCCTATGGTGAAAAAGTAAATATCTTCACATAAAAACTAACCAGAAGCATTCTGACCAACTTCTTTGTGATGTGTGCAATCATCTCACAGAGATGAACCTTATTTTAGATGGAGCACTTAGGAAACAGTCTTTTTGTAGAATCTGCAAAGGGATATTTGTAGCAATTACAGGCCTATGGTGAAAAAGGATATATCTTCACATAAAAACTAAACCTAAGTCTTCTGAGAAACTTCCTTGTGATGAGTGCATTCATCTCACAGTGTTCAAAATTTGCTTTCATTAAACCACTTGGAAACAGTCTTTTTGTAGAATGTGCAAAGGGATATTTTTTAGCTCTTTGTCGCCTATGGTGAAAAAGGAAATATCTTCACATAAAAACTAGACAGAATTTTTCTGAGAAACTTCTTTGTGATGTGTGCTTTCATCTCACAGAGTTGAACCATTCTTTTGATAGATAGTTTGGAAACAGTGTTTTTGTAGATTCTGAAAAGGGATATTTGAAGCAGTTTGAGGCCTATAGTGATAAAGGAAATATCTTCACATAAAAACTAGACAGAAGCTTTCTGAAAAACTTCATTGTGATGTGTGCATTCTCTCACAGAGTTGAACATTTCTTTTGATTGAGCAGTTTGTTAACAGTCTTTTTGTAGAATCTGCAAGAGGATATTTGTTAGCCCTTTGAGGCTTATAATGAAAAGGGAAATCTCTTCACATAAAACATACAAAGAACCTTTCTAAGAAAGTTCTATGTGATGCGTGCATTCATCTTGCAGATTGGAAAGTTTCTTTTGATTGACCAGTTTGGAAACAGTCTTATTGTAGAATCTGAAAAGGGATATTTGGAGCACTTTGAGACCTATGGTGACAAAGGAAATATCTTTATATTAAAACTAGACAAAGGCTTTCTGAGAAACCCCTTTTTGTTGTGTGCATTCATATCACAGAGCTGGACGATTCTTTTGATTGAGCAGTTTGGAAATAGCCTTTTTGTAGAAACTGCAAAGGGATATTTGGTAGAGGTTTGAGGCCTGTGGTGAAAAAGGAAATATCTTCACATAAAAACTAGACAGAAGCTTTCTGAGAAACCTATTTGTGATGTATGCATTCATCTCAGAGAGTTGAAATTATCTTTTGATTGAGCAGTTTGGAAACCGTCTTTTTGTAGAATCTGTAAAGGGATATTTGGACAAATTTGAGGCCTATGGCGAAAAAGGAAATACCTTCACATAAAAACTAGACAGAAGCAGTGTGAGAAAATTCTTTGTGACTTGTGCATTCATCTCATAGAGTTGAACATTTCTTCTGATTGAGCTGTTTTGAAACAGTCTTTTTGTAGATCTACAGAGGGATATTTTTGAGCCCTTTGAGGCCTATGTTGAAAAAGGAAATATCTTCACATAAAAACTACACAGAAGCTTTCTGAGAAAGTCATTTGTGATGTGTGCTTTCATCTCACAGAGTTGAAACATTCTTTTGATATATCAGTTTGGAAACAGTCTTTTTGTAGAATCTGCAAAGGGATATTTGGAGAACTTTGAGGACTATGGTGCAAAAGGAAATATCTTCACATAAAAACTACACAGAACCATTCTGATAAACTTCTTTGTGAAGTGTGCATTCATCTTGCAAAGTTTCTTTTGTCTGAAGAATTTGGAAGCAGTCTCTCTGTAGAATCTGAAAAGGGAAATTTGGAGTGCTTTGAGGCATATGATAAAAAAAGAAGTATCTTCACATAAAAACTAGACCAAAGCTATCTGAGAAACTTCTTTGTGATGAGTGCATTCATCTCACACAGATGAATCTTTATATTGATTAAGCCATTGGAAACAATCTTTTTGTAGAAACTGCAAAGGAATATTTGGAGAACTTCATGCCTTTGGTGAAAAATGAAATTTCTTCACATAAAAACTAGACAGAAGCTTTCTGAGAAACTTCTTTGTGATGTGTGCATTCATCTCACAGAGTTGAAACTTTCTTTTGATTCAGCGCTTTGGAAACAGTCTGTTTGTGTAATCTGCATGGGGATATTTTGAGCACTTTGAGGTCTATGGTGATGAAGGAAATATCTTCACATAAAAACTAGACCAAAGATTTCTGAGAAACTTCTTTGTGATGAGTGCATTCATCTCACAAAGATGAATTTTCTTTTGATTAAGACGTTTGGAAACAGTCTTTTTGTAGAGTTCGCAAAGGCATACTTGGAGCAATTTGACACCTATGGTGAAAAAAGAAATATCCTCACATAAAAGCTAGACAGAAGCTTTCTGAGAAACTTCTTTGTGATGTGTGCCTTCATCTCACAGTGGTGAAATTTTCTTTTCATTGAGCAGCTGGGAAACAGTCTTTTTGTAGACTGTAAAGGGATATTTGGAGCAATTTGAATCCTATCGTGAAAAAGGAAATATCTTCAAATAAAAACTAGACAGAAGCTTTCTGAGAAACCTCTTTGTGATGTGTGCATTCATCTCACAGAGTGGAACCCTTCTTTTGATTGAGAAGTTTGGAAACAGTCTTTTTGTAGAATCTGTGAAGCGATATTTGGAGTGCTTTGAGGTGTAAGGTAAAAAAGGAAATATCTTCACATAACAACTAGACAGAAACATTCTGAGCAACTTTGTGTGATGCATGCATTCATCTCACAGAGTTGAACCTTTCTTTTGATCGAGCAGTTTGAAAACAATCTTTTTGTATAATTTGTAAAGGGATATTTGGAGCAATTTGAGGCCTATGGTGAAAAAGGAAATATCTTCACATAAAAACTAGAGAGAAGAATTCTGAGAAACTTCTTTGTGAATTGTGCATTCATCTCACAGATTTGAATGTTTCTTTTGATTGAGCAGTTTGGAAACAGTCTTTTTGTAGAATCTGCAAAAGGATATTTCTGAGTGGTTTGATGTACACGGTGAAAAAGGAAACATCTTCACATAAAAATTAGACAGAATTTTTCTGACAAACGACTTCATGATGTGTGCTTTCACCTCAGAGATTTGAACGTGTCTTTTGAATGAGCAGTTTTGAAACAGTCTTTTTGTAGAATATCAAATGGTATATTTGAAGTGCTTTGAAGCACCTGGTGAAAACGGAAATATCTTCACATTAAAACAAGACGGAATCTTTCTGAGAAACTTCTTTGTGACGTGTGCATTCATCTCAGAGAGTTGAACATTTCTTATGATTGAGCAGTTTGGAAAGAGTCTTTTTGTAGAATCTGCAAACAGATAGTTGTGAGCGGTTTGAGGCTTATGGTGAAAAAGGAAATATCTTCACAAAAAAACTAGACAGAAGCTTTGTGACAAGCTACTTTGTTGCGTGTGCATTCATCTTACAGATTTGAGTGTTTCTTTTGATAGAGCAGTTTGGAAACAGTCTTTTTGTAGAATCTGAAATGGGATATTAAGAGTGCTTTGAGACGTATGGTGAAAAAGGGAATATCTTCATATAAAAGCTAGACAGAAGCTTTCTGAGAAACTTCTTTGTGATGTGTGCATTCACCTCACAGAGTTGAACGTTTCTTTTGGTTGAGCAGTTTGGAAAGAGTCTTTTTGTATAATCTGAAAAGGATATTTGGAGTGCTCTGAGGCATATGGTGAAAAAAGAAGTATCTTCACATAAAAACTGGACAGAAGCATTCTGAGAAACTTCTTTGTGATGTGTGCATTCATCTCACAGAGTTGAACCTTGCTTTTAATTGAGCACTTTGGAAACAGTCTGTTTGTAGTATCTACAAAGGCAAATTTGTGAGCCCTTTGAGGACGATTTTGAAAAGGAAATATCTTCACATGTAAACCACACAGAAGCATTCTGAGAAAGTTCTTTGTGATGTGTGTTTTCACCTCACAGAGTTGAACCATTCTTTTGATAGATCCATTTGGAAACAGTCTTTTTGTAGAATCTGCAAACTGATATTTGGAGCACTTTGAGATGTATTGTGAAAAAGGAAATATCTTCACAGAAAAGCTAGACAGAAGCTTTCTGAGAAACTTCGTTGTGATGTGTGCATTCATCTCCAGGTGTTGAACCTTTCCTTTGATTGAGCAGTTTGAAAAGAGTCTTTTTGTAAAATCTGCAAACAGAAATTTGTGAGCCTTTTGTCGCCTATGGTAAAAAAGGAAATATCTTCACATAAAAACTGAACAGAAGCTTTCTGAGAAACTTCTTTTTGATATGTACTTTCATCCCACAGTGTTGAACTATTCTTTCAATTGATCAGTTTGGAAACAGTCTTTTTGGAATATCTGCAAAGGGATGTTTGCCACAATTTTAGGCTTACAGTGAAATAGGGAAAATCTTCATATAAAAAGAAGACAGAAGCTCTCTGAGAAACTTCTTTGTGATATGTGCATTCATCTCACAGAGCTGAACATTTCTTCTGGTTGAGCAGTTTGGAAACCGTCTTTTTGAAGAATCTGCAAAGGGATATTTGGAGCAATTTGATGCCTATGTTGAAAAAGGAAATATCTTCCCATAAAGACTACACAGAGCTTTCTGAGAAACTTCTTTGTGATGTGTGCATTCATCTCACAGAGTTGAACCTTTCTTTTGATTCAGCACTTTTTTTTTTTTTTTTTTTTTTTTTTTGAGACGGAGTCTCGCTCTGTCGCCCAGGCCGCACTGCGGACTGCAGTGGCACAATCTCGGCTCACTGCAAGCTCCGCTTCCCAGGTTCACGCCATTCTCCTGCCTCAGCCTCCCGAGTAGCTGGGACTACAGGCGCCCGCCACCGCGCCCGGCTAATTTTTTGTATTTTTAGTAGAGACGGGGTTTCACCTTGTTAGCCAGGATGGTCTCGATCTCCTGACCTCATGATCCACCCGCCTCGGCCTCCCAAAGTGCTGGGATTACAGGCGTGAGCCACCGCGCCCGGCCATGATTCAGCACTTTGGAAACAGTCTGTTTGTGTGATCTGCCTGGGGATATTTGGAGCACTTTTAGGTCTATGGTGAAAAAGAATAAATCTTTACATAAAAACTAGACCAAAGCTTTCTGACAAACTTCTTTGTGATGAGTGCATTCATGTCACAAAGATGAACTTTTCTTTTGATTAAGCCATTTGGAAACAGTCTTTTTGTGGAGTCTGCAAAGGCATACTTGGAGCAATTTGAGGTCTACGGTGAAAAAAGAAATATCTTCACATAAAAACTCGTCAGAAGCTTTCTGAGAAACTTATTTGTGATGTGCACATTCATCTCACAGCCGTGAAACTTTCTTTTTATTGAGCAGCTTGGAAACAGTCTTTTCATAGAATCTGTAAAGAGACATTTGGAGCAATTTGAGGCTTATTGTGAAAAAGGATATATCTTCAGATAAAAACTAGACAGAAGCTTTCTGAGAAACTTCTTTGTGATGTGTGCATTCATCTCACAGAGCTGAATGCTTCCTTTGATTGAGCAGTTTGGAAACAGTCTTTTTGTAGAATCTGCAATGCGATATTTGGAGTGCTTTGAGGCATAAGGTGAAAAAGGAAATATCTTCACATAACAACTAGACAGAAGCATTCTGAGCAACTTTGTGTGATGTGTGCATTCATCTCACAGAGGTGAAACTTTCTTTTGATTGAGCAGTTTGGAAACAGTCTTTTTGTATAATTTGTAAAGGGATATTTGAAGCAATTTGAGGCCTATTCACCAAAGGAAATATCTTCACATAAAAACTAGAGAGAAGCGTTCTGAGAAACTTCTTTGTGAATTTGCATTCAACTCACAGATTTGAACCTTTCTTTTGATTGAGCAGCTTTGAAACAGACTTTTTGTAGAATATGAAATGGTATATTTTGAGTGCTTTGAGGAGCTTCGTGAAAAATGAAATATCATCACATTAAAACAAGACGGAATCTTTCTGAGAAACTTCTTTGTGATGTGTCCATTCATCTCAGAGAGTTGAACATTTCTTATGATTGAGCAGTTTGGAAAGAGTCTTTTTGTAGAATCTGCAAACAGATAGTTGTGAGCAGTTTGAGGCTTATGGTGAAAAAGGAAATATCTTCACATAAAAACTAGACAGAAGCTTTGTGACAAACTAGTTTGTGATGTGTGCATTCATCTTACAGAGTTGAAAGTTTCTTTTGATAGAGCAGTTTGGAAACAATCTTTTTGTAAAATCAGAAATGGGATATTAGGAGCGCTTTGAGGAGTATGGTGAAAAAGGAAATATCTTCACATAAAAACTAGACCGAAGCTTTCTGAGAAACTTGTTTGTGATGTGTGCATTCATCTCACAGATTTGAACCTTCCTTTTAATTAAGCAGTTTGGAAACAGTCTTTTTGTAGAATCTGCAAAGGGACATTTGGGAGCCCTTTGAGACCTTTGCTGAAGAAGAAAATGTCTTCACATAAAAACTGGACAGAAACTTTCTGACAAACTCCTTTGTGATGTGTACTTTCATCTCACAGAGTTGAAACGTTCTTTTGATAGATCAGTTTGGAAACAGTGTTTTTGTAGAATCTGCAAAGTCATATTTGGAGCAATTTGAGGCTGATGGTGAAAAAGGAAATACCTTCACATAAAAACTAGACACAGAGGGAGGAGTCAAGATGGCCGAATAGCAACAGCTCTGGTCTACAGCTCCCAGCATGAGTGATGCAGAAGATGGGTAATTTCTGCATTTCCATCTCAGTTTCCTTGTTCATATTACTGGGGTGTGCTAGACAGTTGGTGCATGATGCTGGGTGCAGTGCACCGTGCATGAGCCAAAGCAGGGCGAGGCATTGCCTCACCCAGGAAGTGCAAGGGGTCAGGGAATTCCCTTTCCTAGTCAAAGAAAGGGGTGACAGATGGCACCTGGAAATCGGGTCACTCCCACCCTAATACTGTGCCTTCCCAATGGGCTTAAAAAACGGCACACCAGGAGATTCTATCCTGCACCTGTCTTAGAGGGTCCTAAACCCAAGAAGTCTCACTCACTACTAGCACAGCAGTCTGAGGTCAAACTACAAGGTGGCAGTGAGGCTGCGGGAGGTGTGCCCACCATTGCAGAGACTTGATTCGGTAAACAAAGCAGCCGAGAAACTCGAACTGGGAGGACCCCACCACAGCTCAAGAAGGCCTGCCTGCCTCTGTAGGCTCCACCTCTGGGGGCAGGGCACAGACAAACAAAAAGACAGCAGTAACCTCGGAAGACTTAAATGTCCCTGTCTGACAGCTTTGAAGAGAGTAGTGGTTCTCCCAGCACACAGCTTGAGATCTGAGAATGCGCAGACTGCCTCCTCAAGTGGGTTCCTGACCCCTGAGTAGCCTAACTGGGAGGCATCCCCCAGTTAAGGGTGGACTGACACCTCACACGGCCGGGTACTCCTCTGAGACAAAACTTACAGAGGAAAGATCAGGCAGCAGCATTTGCAGTTCACCAATATCCACTGTTCTGCAGCCACCACTCCTGACACCCAGGCAAACAGGGTCTGGAGTGGACCTCCAGCAAACTCCAACAGACCTGCAGCTGAGGGCCCTGTCTGTTAGAAGGAAGACTAACAAACAGAAAGGACATCCACACCAAAAACTCATCTGTACGTCACCATCATCAAAGACCAAAAGTAGATAAAAGGACAAAGATGGGGAAAAAACAGAGCAGAAAAACTGGAAACTCTAAAAATCATAGCCCTTCTCTTCCTACAAAGGAGCTCAGCTCCTCACCAGCAATGGAAAAAAGCTGGATGGAGAATGACTGATGAGTTGAGAGAAGAAGGCTTCAGATGATCAAACTACTCTGAGCTACAGGAGGAGATTCCAACCAACGGCAAAGAAGTTAAAAACTTGGAAAAAATTAGAAGAATTGATAACTAGAATAGCCAATGCATAGAAGTCCTTAAAGGACCTGATGGAGCTGAAAACCAAGGCACAAGAACTACGTGACAAATGCAGAAGCCTCAGTAGCTGGTGCAATCAACTGGAAGAAAAGGTATTAGCGATGGAAGATGAAATGAATGAAATGAAGTGAGAAGAGAAGTTTAGAGAAAAAAGAATAAAAAGAAATGAAAAAAGCTTCCAAGAAATATGGGACTATGTGAAAAGACCAAATCTACATCAGATTGGTGTACATGAAAGTGACAGGGAGAATAGAACCAAATTGGAAAACACTCTGCAGGATATTATCCAGGGGAATTTCCTTAATCTAGCAAGGCAGGCCAACATTCAAATTCAGGAAATACAGAGAACCCCACAAAGGTAATCCTGGAGAAGAGCAACTCCAGGATACATAATTGTCAGATTCACCAAATTTGAAATGAAGGAAAACATGTTAAGGGCAGCCAGAGAGAAAGGTCGGGTTACCCACAAAGGGAAGCCCATCAGACTAATAGTGGATCTCACAGCAGAAACTCTACAAGACAGAAGAGAGTGGGGACCAATATTCAACATTCTTAAAGAAAAGAATTTTCAGCACAGAATTTCATATCCAGCAAAACTAAGCTTCATAAGTGAAGGAGAAATAAAATCCTTTACAGACAAACAAATGCTGAGAGATTTTGTCACCACCAGGCCTGCCCTAAAAGAGATCCTGAAGGAAGCACTAAACATGGAAAGGATCAACTGCTACCAGCCACTGCAAAAACATGCCAAATTGTAAAGACCATCAAGGCTAGGAAGAAACTGAATCAACTAAAGAGCAAAATAACCAGCTAACATCATAATGACAGGATCAAATTCACACAAAACGATATTAACTTTGAACGTAAACGGGCTAAATGCTCCAATTAAAAGACACAGACTGGAAAATTGGATAGCGTCAAGACCTGTCAGTGTAGTGCATTCAGGAAACCCATCTCACGTGCAGAGACACACATAGGCTCAAAATAAAGGGATGGAGGAAGATCTACCAAGCAAATGGAAAACAGAAAAAGGCAGGGGTTGCAATCCTAGTCTCTGATAAAACAGACTTTAAACCAACAAAGATCAAAAGAGACAAAGAAGGCCATTACATAATGGTAAAGGGATCAATTCAACAAGAAGAGCTAACTATCCTAAATATATATGCACCCAATACAGGAGCACCCAGATTCATAAAGCAAGTCCTTAGAGACCTACAAAGAGATGTAGACTCCCACACAATAATAACGGGAGTCCTTAACACCCCACTGTCAAATTAGACAGATCAACGAGACAGAAAGTTAACAATGATACCCAGGAATTGAACTCAGCTCTAAAGCAAGCGGACCTAATAGCCATCTACAGAACTCTCCACTCCAAATCAACGGAATATACATTCTTTTCAGCACCACACATATTCTAAAATTGACCACATAGTTGGAAGTAAAGCACTCCTCAGCAAACGTAAAAGAACAGAAATTATAACAAACTGCCTCTCACACCACAGTGCAATCAAACTAGAACTCAGGATTAAGAAACTCACTCAAAACCTCTCAACTACATGGAAACTGAATAACCTGCTCCTGAACGACTACTGGGTACATAATGAAATGAAGGCAGAAATAAAGATGTTCTTTGAAACCAACGAGAACAAAGACACAACATACCAGAATCTCTGGGACACATTCAAAGCAGTGTGTACAGGGAAATTTATAGCACCAAAGGCCCACAAGAGAAAGCAGGAATGATCTCAAATTGACACCCTAACATCACAATTAAAAGAACTAGAAAAGCAAGAGCAAACACATTCAAAAGCTAGCAGAAGAAATAACTAAGATCAGAGCAGAACTGAAGGAAACAGAGACAGAAAAAACCCTTCAAAAAATTAATGAATCCAGGAGCTGGTTTTTGAAAAGATCAACAAAATTGATACACCTCTAGCAAGACTAATAAAGAAGAAAAGAGAGAAGAATCAAAGAGATGCAATAAAAAATGATAGAATCAAATAGATGCAATAAAAATGATAATGGGGATATCACCACTGATCCCACAGAAATACAAACTACCATCAAAGAATATTATAAACACCTCTATGCAAATAAACTAGAAAATCTTGAAGAAATGGATAAATTCCTCCACACATACACTCTCCCAAGACTAAACCAGGAAGAAGTTGAATCTCTGAATAAACCAATAACAGGCTCTGAAGTTGAGGCAATAATCAATAGCTTACCAAACAAAAAAAGTCCAGGACCAGATGGATTCACAGCCGAATTCTACCAGAGGTACAAGGAGGAGCTGGTACCATTCTTTCTGAAACTATTCCAATCAATAGAAAAAGAGGGAATCCTCCCTAACTCATTTTTTGAGGCGAGCAGCATCCTGATACCAAAGCCTGGCAGAGACACAACCAAAAAAAAGAATTTTAGACCAATAACCTTGATGAAAATTGATGCAAATATCCTCAATAAAATATTGGCAAACCGAATCCAGCAGGATATCAAAAAGCATATCCACCATGATCAAGTGGGCTTCATCCCTGGGATGCAAGGCTGGTTCATCATACATAAATCAATAAATGTAATCCAGCATATAAACAGAACCAAAGACAAAAACCACATGATTATCTCAATAGATGCAGAAAAGGCCTTTGACAAAATTCAACAACTCTTCATGCTAAAAACTCTCAATAAATTAGGTATTGATGGGACGTATCTCAAAATAATAGGAGCTATCTATGACAAACACACAGCCAATATCATACTGAATGGGCAAAAACTGGAAGCATTCCCCTTGAAAACTGGCACAAGACAGGGATGCCCTCTCTCACCACTCCTATTCAAAAGAGTGTTGGAAGTTCTGGCCAGGGCAATCAGGCAGGAGAAGGAATTAAATGGTATTCAATTAGGAAAAGAGGAAGTCAAATTGTCCTTGTTTGCAGATGACATGATTGTATATCTAGAAAACCCATTGTCTCAGCCCAAAATCTCCTTAAGCTGATAAGCAAATTCAGCAAAGTCTCAGGATACAAAATCAAGGTACAAAATTCACAAGCATTCTTTTACACCAATAACAGACAAACAGAGAGCCAAATCATGAGTGAACTCCCATTCAGAATTGCTTCAAAGAGAATAAAATACCCAGGATTCCAACTTACAAGGGATGTGAAGGACCTCTTCAAGGAGAACTACAAACCGCTGCTCAATGAAATAAAAGAGGATACAAACAAATGGAAGAACATTCCTTTCTCATAGATAGGAAGAATCAATATCATGAAAATGGCCCTACTGCCCAAGGTAGTTTATAGATTCAATGCCATTCCCATGAAGCTACCAATGACTTTCTTCACAGAATTGGAAAAAACTACTTTAAAGTTCATATGGAACTAAAAAAGAGTCCACAATGCCAAGTCAATTCTAACCCTAAAGAAAAAAGCGGAAGGCATCAAGCTGCCTGACTTCAAACTATATTATAAGGCTACAGTAACCAAAACAGTCTGGTACTGGTACCTAAACAGAGATATAGACCAATGGAACAGAATAGAGCCCTCAGAAATAATGCCACATATCTATAACTATCTGATCTTTGACAAACCTGACAAAAACAACAAATGGGGAAAATATTCCCTATTTAATAAATGGTGCTGGGAAAACTGGCTAGCCATATGTAGAAAGCTGAAACTGGATCCCTTCCTTACACCTTATACAAAAATTAATTCAAGATGGATTAAAGACTTAAACCTTCGACCTAAAACCATAAAAACCCTAGAAGAAAACCTAGGCAATACCATTCATTACATAGGCATGGGCAAGGACTTCATGTCTAAAACATCAAAAGCAACGGCAACAAAAGCCAAAATTGACAAATGGGATCTAATTAAACTAAAGAGCTTCTGCACAGCAAAAGAAACTGCCATCAGAGTGAACAGGCAACCTACAAAATGGGAGAAAATTTTTGCAAACTACTCATTTGACAAAGGGCTAATATCCAGAATCTACAATGAACGCAAACAAATTTACAAGAAAAAAACAAACAACCCCATCAAAAAGTGGGTGAAGGATATGAACAGACACTTCTCAAAAGAAGACAGTTATGCAGTCAAAAGACACATAAAAAAATTCTCATCATCACTGGCCATCAGAGAAATGCAAATCAAAACCACAATGAGATACCATCTCACACCAGTTAGAATGGCAATCATTAAAAAGTCAGGAAACAACAGGTGCTGGAGAGGATGTGGAGAAATAGGAACATTTTACACTGTTGGTGGGACTGTAAACTAGTTCAACCCTTGTGGAAGTCAGTGTGGCGATTCCTCAGGGATCTAGAACTGGAAATACCATTTGACCCAGCCATCCCATTACTGGGTAGATATCCAAAGGATTATAAATCATGATGCTATAAAGACACATGCACACGTATGTTTATTGTGGCACTATTCACAATAGCAAAGACTTGGAACCAGCAATGGTAGAGTGGATTAAGAAAATGTGGCACATATACACCATGGAATACTATGCAGCCATAAAAAATGATTTCATGTCCTTTGTAGGGACATGGATGAAACTGGAAACCATCATTCTCAGCAAACTATCGGAAGGACAAAAAACCAAACACCTCATGTTCTCACTCATAGGTGGGAATTGAACAATGAGAACACATGGACACAGGAAGGGGAACATCTCACACTGGGGACAGTTGTGGGGTGGGGGTAGGGGGAAGGGATAGCATTAGGAGATATACCTAATGCTAAGTGACAGGTTAGTGGGTGCAGCACACCAACATTGCACATGTATGCATATGTAACAAACCTGCACATTGTGCACATGTACCCTAAAACTTAAAGTATAATAAAAATAAAATAAAATAAAAACTAGACAGAAGCTTTCTGAGAAACTTCTTTGTGATGTGTGCATTCATCTCACAGATTTGAGCATTTCTTGTGATTGAGGAGTTTGGAAACAGCCTTTTTGTAGTATCTGCAAAGGGGTATTTGGAGTGTTTTGAGGTGTATGGTGAAAAAGGAAATATCTGCATATAAGAACTAGACAGAAGCATTCTGAGCAACTTCTTTGTGATGTGGGCATACAACACAGAGAGTTGAAACTTTCGTTTCATTGAGAAGTTCGGAAACAGTCTTATTGTAGAATGTGCAAAGGGATATTTTTGAGCCTTTTGAGGCCTAGGGTGAAAAAGGAAATATCCTCACATAAAAAGTACACAGAAGCTTTCTGAAAAACTCCTTTATGATGTGTGATTTCACCCCACAGAGTTGAACCATTCTCTTGATAGATCAGTTTGGAAACAGTCTTTCTGTAGAATCTGCAAAGCAATATTTGGAGAACTTTGAGGCCTATGGTGAAAAGGAAATATGTTCACATAAAAAATAGACAGGAGCATTTTGAGCAGCTTCTTTGGGATGTGTGCATTCATCACAAGGAGTTGAAACATTCTTTTGATTGAGCAGTTTGGAAAAGGTCTTTTTGTAGAATCTGCAAAAGGATATTTGTGAGTGGTTTGAGGCCTATGGTGAAAAAGGAAATAGTTTGGAAACAGCCTTTTTTGGAATCTGTTAAGGTATATTTGGTGCACTTTGAGGCCTATGGTGAAAAAGAAATATCTTCACATAAAAACTGGACAGAAGATTTCTGAGAAACTTCTTTGTGATGTGTGCATTCATCTCACAGAGTTGAACCATTCTTTTGATTCATCAGTTTGGAAACAGTATTTTTGCGTAATCTGCAAATGGATATTTGGAGCAATTTGAGGCCTATGGTGAGAAAGGAGATATCTTCAGATAAAAACTAGACCAAAGCTTTCTGAGAAACTTATTTGAGATGAGTGCATTTATCTCACAGAGTTGTATCTTTCTTTTGATTAAGTCGTTTGGAAACATTATTTTGTAGAATCTGCAAAGGGATATTTGTGAGCCCTCTGAAGACTATGTTGAAAAAGGAAATATTTTCACTTAAAAACTAGACAGAAAATTTCTGAGAAAACTCTTTGTTAGTGTGCATTCATCTCACAGAGTTGAATGTTTCTTTTGATTGAGCAGTTTGGAAACAGTCTTTTCATGGAATCTGCAAAGGGATATTTGGAGTGCTTTGAGGCCTGTTGTGAAAAAGGAAATATCTTCACATAAGAACTAGACAGAAGCATTGTGAGCAACTTCTTTGTGATGTGTGCATTCATCTCACAGAGGTGAAACTTTCCTTTGATTGAGCAGTTGAAAACAGTCTTTTTGTAGAATCTGCAAACAGATAGTTGTGAGAGGTTTGAGGCTTATGGTGAAAAGATAATATCTTCACATAAAAACCAGACAGATGCTTTCTGAGCAACTGCTTTGTGAGGTGTGCATTCATCTCACAGAAGTGAACATTTCTTTTGATTGAGCAGATTGGAAACACTCTTTCTGTAGAATCTGAAATGAGATACTTGGAGCACTTTGAGGCATATGGTGAAAAAGGAAATATCTTCACATAAAAACTAGACAGAAACTTTCTGAGGAATTTATTTGTGTTGTGTGCATTCATCTCATAGAGTTGAACATTAAACTCATCCAAAGATTTGAACATTAAACTAGTCCAAAGCTTTCACATAAAAACTAGTCCAAAGCTTTATGAGAAACACGTTTCTGATGAGTGCATTAATCTCACATAGTTGAACCTTTCTTTTGATTAAGCCATTTGGAAACAGTCTTTTTCTAGAATCTGCATGGGATATTTGTGAGCCCTTTGAGGTCTGTGGTGAAAAAGGTAATATTTTTACATAAAACTATACAGAAGCTTTCTGAGAAAGTTCTCTGTGATGTGTGCTTTCATGTCACAGAGTTGAACTTTTCTTTTGTTGAGCAGTTTGGAAAGTCTTTTTGTACAATCTTCAAGTGGATGTTTGGAGCGCTTTCAGGCCATGGTGAAAAAGGAAATGTCTTCACACAAAAACTAGACAGAAGGTTTCTGAGAAACTTCTCTGTGATGTGCACATTCATCTCAGAGAGCTCAACATTTCTTTTGATGGAGCAGTTTGGAAAGAGTACTTTTGTAGAATCTGCAAAAGGATAATTTTGAGCAGTTTGAGGCTTATGGTGAAAAAGGAAATATCTTCACATAAAAACCAGACAGAAGCTTTCTGACAAACTTCTTTGGGATGTGGGAAATCACCTCACAGAGTTGAAGGTTTCCTTTAATTGAGCAGTTTGGAAGCAGTCTTTTTCCAGAATCTGCAAAGGGATAGTTGGAGTGCTTTGAGGCATATGGTGAGAAAGGAAATATCTTCACATGAGAACTAGTCAGAAACATTCTGAGCAACATCTTTGTGATGTGTGCATTCATCTCACAGAGGTGAACCTTTCTTTTGATTGAGCAGTTTGGAAACAGTCTTTTTGTAGAATATGTAAAGGGGTATTTGGAGAAGTTTGAGGCCTATGGTTAAAAAGGAAATATCTTCACATGAAAATTACCCTAAAGCATTCTGAGAAAGTTCTTTGTGAGGTGTGCTTGCATCTCATAGAGTTGAACCTTTCTTTTGAAAGATGAGTTTCATAACAGTCTTTTTGTAGAATCTGCAAAGGGATATTTGCAGCATTTTTAGGCCTATGGTGAAAAAGGAAATATCTTCACATAAAAACAAGACAGAAGCTTCTGAGAAACTTCTTCATGATGTTTGCATTCCTCCCTCACACTTTATGCTTTCTTTTGACTGAGCAGTTGGAAACAGTCTTTTTGTAGAATCTGCAAATGAATATTTGTGATCAGTATGAGGCCTAAGGTGAAAAATGACATACCTTCAAATGAAAACTGAACCAAAACTTTCTGAAAAACTTCTTTGTTATGTGTGCATTCATCTCATGGAGTTGAACATTTCTTTTAATTCAGCAGTTTGGAAACAGACTTTTTGTAGAATCTGAAAAGGGATATTTGGAGCGCTTTGAGGTGTATGGAGAAAAAGGAAATATCTTCAAGTAGAAACAAGACAGAAACCTTCTGAGAAACTTCTTTGTGACATGTGCATTCATCTCACAGAGTTGAAACTTTCTTTTGATTGACCAGTTGAGAAAGTCTTTGTGTACTATCTGCAAAGAGATACTTGTGAGAACTTTGAGGGCTATGGTGAAACAGGAAACATCCTCACTAAAAATTAGACAGAAACATTCTGAGCAACTTTTTTGTGATGTGTGAATTCATCTCACAGAATTAAAACTTTCTTTTGATGGAGCACTTTGGATACAGTCTGTTTGTAGAATCTGCAAAGGGATATTTGGAGGAACTTGAGGCCTACGGTGAAAAAGGAAATATCTTCACATAAAAACTAGTCCAAAGGCTTTTGAGAAAATTCTTTGTCATGAGTGAATTAGTCTCACAGCATTGAATCTTTATTTTAATTAAGCCATTTAGAAGGAGTCTTTTTGTAGAATCTGCAAAGGGATACTTGTGAGCCCATGGAGGCCTATGGTGAAAAAGGATATATATTCACATAAAAACTTGACAGAAGCTTTCTGAGAAACTTGTTTGTGATGTGTGATTAAATCTCACAGAATTCAGCCTTTCCTTTCATTGAGCAGTTTGAAAACAGTCTTTTTGTAGAATTTGCAAGTGGATATTTTTAGCGCTTTGAGGCCTATGGTGAAAAAGGAAATATCTTCAAATAAAAACTAGAAAGAAGCATTTTGAGCAACATCCTTGTGATGTGTGCATGCATCTCCAGAGTTAAACCTTTCTTTTGATTGAGAACTTTGGAAAATTTATGTTTGTAGAATCTGCAAAGGGATATTTGGAGAAATTTGAGGCCTGTGGTGAAAAAGGAAATATCTTCACATAAAAACTGGACTGAAGTTTTCTGAGAAACTTCTTTGTGATATGTGCTTTCATTTCACAGAGTTGAACCATTCTTTTGATTTATCAGTTTGGAAACAGTCTTTTTGTGGAATCTACAAATGGATATTTGGAGCACTTTGATGCCTATGGTGAAAAAGGAAATATCTTCACATAAAAACTAGACAGAAGCTCTCTGAGAAACTTCTTTGTGATGTGTGCACTCATTTCATAGTGTTGAAACTTTCTTTTGATTAAGCAGTTTGGAAACAGTATTTTTGTAGAATCTGCAGCAGGATATTTATGAGCTGTTTGAGGCCTATGGTGAAAAGTGAAATATCTTCAAATAAAAACTAGACAGAAGCTTTCTGAGGAACTTCTTTGTGTTGTGTGCTTTCATCTTACAGAGTTGAACCTTTCTTTTGATTGAGCAGTTTGTAAACAGTCTTTTTGGAGAATTTGCAAGTACATATTTGCAGGGATATGAGGCCTACAGTGAAAAAGGAAATATCTTCACATAAAAACCAGACAGAAGCTTTCTGAGAAACTCCTTTTTGATGTGTGCATTCATCTGACAGAGTTCAAACTTTCTTTTGATTGAGCAGTTTGGAAACAGTCTTTTTGTAGAATCTGCACAGGGATATTCATGAGTGGTTTCTTGCCTGTGTTGGAAAAGGAAATATCTTCAAATAAAAGCTAAACAGAAAAATTCCGATAAACTTCTTTGTGATGTGTGCATTCATCTCACAGATATGAACCTTTCTTTTGATTGAGCAGTTTGGAAACAGTCTTTTTGTAGAATATGCAAATGGATATTTGGAGTGATTTGTGGTCTATGGTGAAAAAGGAAATATCATCATATAAAACCTAGACAGAAGCTTTCTGAGGAACTTCTTTGTGATGTGTGCATTCATCTCACATGTTTGAACTTTTTTTTGATAGAGCGGTTTGGAAACAGTCTTCTTGTACCATCTGCAAAGGGATATTTCTGGGCAGTTTGAGGACTGTGGTGAAAAAGAAATATCCTCAGATAAATACTAGACAGAATCATTCGGAGAAACTTCTTCATGATGTGTACATTCAACTCACAGTGTTGAAACTTTCTTTTGATTAAGTGCTTTGGAAACAGTATTTTTGTAGTATCTGCAATGGGATATTTGTGAGTCCTTTGAGACTTATGGTGAAATATGAAATATCTTCACATAAAAACTAAACAGAAGAATTCAGAGAAACTACTTTGTGATGTGTGCTTTCATCTCACAGAGTTGAACCTTTCTTTAGATTGAGCAGTTTTTTTGAAACAGTCTTTTTGTAGAATATGCAAATGGATATTTGGATCTCTTTGAGGCCTATGGTGAAATAGGAAATATCTTTACTTAAACACTAGACAGAAGCTTTCTGACAAACTTCTTTGTGATGTGTGCTTTCGTCTCATAGAGTTGAAACTTTCTTTTGATTGAGTAGTTTGGAGACAGTCTTTTAGTGGAATCTGCAGCAGGTTATTTGTGAGCAGTGTGAAGCCTATGGTGAAAAAGGAAATATCTTCACATAAATACTAGACTGAAGCCTTCTGAGGAACTTCTTTTTGATGTGTGCTTTCACCTCACAGTTTTGAACGTTTCATTTGATTGAGAAGTTTGGAAGCAGTCTTTTTGTAGAATCTGCAATTGGTTATTTGTGAGACCTTTGAAGCTTATGGTGGAAAAGGAATTATCTTCACATAAAAACTAGACAGAAGCTTTCTGAGAAACTTCTTTGTGATGTGGTCTTTCATCTCACATAATTGAACCTTTATTTCTTTCAGCAGTTTGTAAACAGTCTTTTTGTAGAATATACAATTGGATATTTGGAGTGCTTTGAGGCCTGTGTTGAAAAAGGAAATATCTTCACTTAAAAACTAGACAGAATATTTCTGAGAAACTTCTTTGTGATGTGTGCATTCATCTCACGGAGTACAAACTTTCTTTTGTTTGATCAAATTGGAAACAGTATTTTTGTAGAATACGAACAGAGATATTTGTGAGCCCTTTGAGGCATATGGTGAAAAAGGAGATATGTTCACATAAAAGCTAGAGAGAAGATTTGTGATAAACTTCTTTGTGATGTGTGCTTTCATCTCACAGGTTTGAACCTTTCTTTTGATTGAGCAGTTTGGAAACAGTCTTTTTGAAAAATCTGCAGCAGGATATTTGTGAGTGGTTTGAAGCCTGTGGAGAAAAGATGTATCTTCACATAAAAACTACAAAGAAGCATTCTGAGAAACTTCTTTGAGATGTGTGCATTCATCTCACAGAGTTGAACCTGTCTTTTCATTGAGCAGTTTGGAAACAGTCTTTTTGTAGCATCTGAAATGGGATATTTGTAGCACTTTGTGGCTTATGGTGAAAAAGGAAATATGTTCACATAAAAACTAGACAGAAGCTTTCTGAAAAACTTCTTTGTGATATGTGCTTTCACCTCACAGAGTTGAATCATTCTGTTGATTGAGCTGTTTGCAAATAGTCTTTTTGTAGAAACTGCAAAGGGATATTTGGAGCACTTTGAGGCCTATGGTGAAAGAAGAAATATCTTCATATAAAAACTAGACAGAAGCATTCTGAGAAACGTCTTTTTGATGTGTGCTTTAATCTCACAGAGTTGAACCTTTCTTTTGATTGATAAGATTGGAAACATTCTTTTTGTAGAAACTGCAAAGGGATATTTGGAGCACTTTGAGGCCTTTGGTGAAAAAGGAAAGATCTTCACATAAAAACTAGACAGAAGCATTGTAAGCAACTTCTTTGTGGTTTGTGCATTCATCTCACAGAATTGAACCTCTCTATTGATTGAGCACTTTGCATACAGTCTTTTTGTAAAATCTACAAAGGTATATTTGGAGCATTTTGAGGCCTGTGGTGAAAAATGAAAAATCTTCACATAAAAACTAGACCAAACTTTCTGAGAAGCATTTTGTGATGTGTGCATTCATCCCACAGATTTGAACCTTTATTTGATTAAGCTGATTGGAAACAGTCTTTTTGTAGAATATGCAAAGGGATATTTGTGAGCTCTCTGAGGACTATGGTGAAAATGAAATATCTTCACATAAATAGTAGACAGAAACTTTCTGAGAAACTACCTTGTGATGTGTCCTTTCATCTCACAGTGTTGAACCTTTCTTTTGATTGAGAAGTTTGGAAACAGTCTTTTTGTAGTATCTGCAAAGGGATATTTGGAGCGCTTTGAGTCGCATGGTGAAAATGGAAATGTCTTCACATAAAAACTAGACAGAAGCATTTGGGAAACAACTTTGTGATGTGTGCATTCATCTCTCAGATTTGAAACTTTCTTTTCATTAAGCAGCTTGGAAAAAGTCTTTTTGTAGAATCTGCAAAGGGATATTTGGAGCACTTTGAGGCCCATGGTGAAAAAGGAAATATCTTCACATAAAAACTGGACATAAGCATTCTGAGAAACTTGTTTGTGGTATATGAATTTATCTCAAAGAGTAGAATCTTTCTTTTCATTGAGCAGTTCGGAAGCAGTCTTTTTGTTGAATCTTCAAAGGGATATTTTTGAGCCATTTGGGCCTTTGATGAAAAAGGAAATATATTCACATAAAAACTAGCCAGAAGACTTTTGAGAAAGTTCTCTGTGATGTGTGGAATCATCTCACAGAGTTTAACATTACTTTTGATTGAGCAGTTTGGAAACAGTCTTTTTGTGGAATCTGCAAAGGGATATTTTTGAGCCCTTTGAGGCCTATGGTGAAAAATGAAATATCTTCACATAAAAACTAGACAGAAGTTTTATGAAAAACTTCTGTGTGATGTGTGCATTCATATCACACAGTTGAATTTTTCTTTTGATTTAGCAGTTTAGAAACAGTCTTTTTTGTAGAATCTGTAAAGGGATATTTGTGAGTGGTTTGAGGCCTGTGGTGGGAAAGGAAATATCTTCCCATAAAAACTAGATAGAAGCTTTCTGAGAAACTTATTTCTGATGTGTGCATTCATCTCACAGTGTTCAAACTTTCTTTTGATTGAACAGTTTGGAAACAGTCTTACTATAGAATCTGCCAAAGGATATTTGTGAGCTGTTTGAGGCCTACAGTGAAAAAGGAAATATCTTCACATAAAAACTAGACGGAAGTTTTCTGATAAATTGCTTTGTGATGTATGCATTCATCTCACAGATGTAAGCATTACTTTCCATTGAGCAGGTTGTAAAATCTGTTCTTGTAGAATCTTCAAAGGGATTTGTTTGATCAGTTAGAGGCCTCTGGTGAAAAAGGGAATATCTTCACATAAAAACTAGACAGAAGCTTTCTGAGAAACTTCTTTGTGATGTGTGCTTTCATCTCAAAGAGGTGAACCTTTTTCTTTTGACTGAGGAGATTGGAAACTCTGTTCTTGTAGAATCTGCAAAGGGATATTTGTGAGCCGTCTAAGGCCTATGTTGAAAAAGGAAATATCTTCCCATAAAAACTAGACAGAAGCTTTCTGATAACTTCTTTGTGATGTGTGCCTTCATCTCACAAAGTTGAACCTTTCTTTTGATTGAGCAGTTGGGAAACAGTCTTTTTGTAGAATCTGAAAAGGGATATGTGTGAGTGGTTTGAGGCCTCTGTAGAAAAAGGAAATATCATCCCATAAAAGCTAGACAGAAGATTTCTGAGCAACTTCCTTGTTATGTGTGCATTCATCTCACAGTGTAGAATTTTTCTTTTCACTGAGCAGCTTGTTAACCGTCTTATTGTAGAATTTGCAAAAGGGATATTTTGAGCTGTTTCAGGCTTATGGTAAAAAAGTTAATATCTTTACATAAAAACTAGACAGAAGCTTTCTGAGAAACTTCTTTGTGATGTGTGCTTTCATTTCACAGAGTTGAAACTCTCGTTGGATTGAGCAGTTTGGAAACAGTCTTTTAGTAGAATCTGCAAAGGGATATTTGTGATCGTTTTCATACTTATGGTGAAAGAAGAAATATCTTCACATAAAAACCAGACAGAAGTTTTCTGAGAAACTAGTTTGTGATGTGTGCATTCATTTCACAGATGTAAACATTTCTTTTCATTGAACAGATTAAAACTGTGTTCTTGTAGAATCTGCAAAGGGATATTTGTGAGCGGTTTGATGCCTATGGTGAAAATGGAAATATCTTCACATAAAAACTGGACAGGTTTCAGAGAAAGTGCTTTATGTTGTGTTCATTCACCACAGAGGTAAACTTTTATTTTCATTGAGCATTTTGGAAACTCTGTTCTTGTAGAATCTGCAAAGGGATATGTGTGAGCAGTTTGAGGGCTATGGTGAAAAATTAAATATCTTCACATAAATACTAGACAGAATATTTCTGACAAACTTCTTTGTGATGTGTGCATTCATCTCGTAGAGTTGAACTTATGTTTGATTGAGCAGTTTGGAGACTGTCTTTTTGTATAATCTGTCAGGGGATAATTGTGAGCCGTTTCAGGCCTGTGGTGAAAAAGGAATTATCTTCACATAAAAACTAAACAGAAGTTTTCTGAGAAACTTCTTTGTGATGTGTGCATTCATCTCACAGAGTTGAACCTTTCTTTTGATTGAGCAGTTTTCAAACACTCTTTATAGAATCTGCAAGTGGATATTTGGAGTGCTTTGAGGCCTATCATGGAAAAGGAAATATCTTCACATAAAAACTAGATAGAAACATTCTGATAAACTTCTTTGTGATGTGTGCATTCATTTCACAGAGATGAACGTTTCTTTTGATGGAGCAATTTGGAAACAGTCTTTTTGTACAATCTGCACAGGGACATTTGAGGGTGCATTGAGACCTATGGTGAAAAACGAAATGTCTTCACAAAAGAACTGGAAAGAAGTTTTCTCAGAAAATTCTTTTCATGTGTGCATTCATCTCTCACAGTTAAAGCTTTCTATTGATTTAGCAGTTTGGAAACCATCTCCTTGTAGAATCTGCAAAGGGATATTTGTGAGCCCTTTGAGGCCTGTGGTCAAAAAGGAAATATCGTAACATAAAAACTAGACAGAATGTTTCTGAGCAATTGCTTTGTGATATGTTCATTCAACTCACAGAGGTAATCATTTATTTTCATTGAGCAGATTATAAACTCTGCTCGTGTAGAATCTGCAAAGGGTTATTTGTGGTGCTATGGGGCCAATGGTGAAAAAGGAAATATCTTCACATAAAAATTAGACAGATGCTTTCTGAGAAAGTTTTTTGTGTTATGTGCATTCATCTCACAGAGTCGACCATTTGTTTTGATGGAGCTGTTTGGAAGAAGTCTTCTTGTAGAATCTGGAAGGGGACATTTTTTATCGGTTTGAGGTCTATGGTCAAAAAGGAAATATCTTCACATAAAAACTAGACAGAAATTTCTGAGAAACTTCTTTTTGATGTGTGCATTCATCTCACAGAGTTGAACCTTTCTTTTGATTGAGCAGTTTGAAACATTCTTTTCGTAGAATCTGAAAAGGGATGTTTGTGAGCGGTTTGAGGCCTATGGTGAAAAAGGAAATATCTTCCCATAAAAACTAGACAGAAGCATTCTGAGAAACTGCTTTGTGATATGTTCATTCATCTCAGAGAAGTAACATTTCTTTTCATTGAGCAGATTGGAAACTGTGTTCTTGTAGTATCTGCATGGGGATATTTTAGATCACTTTGAGGCCTATGGTGAAAAAGCAAATATCTTCACATAAAAACTAGACAGAAGTTTTCTGAGAAACGTCTTTGTTATGTGTGCATTCATTTCACTGTCTTGAACCTTTCTTTTGATTGAGCAGATTGGAAACAGTCTTTTTGTAGAATCTGCAAAGGAATATTTTTGAGCCTTTTGAGGCATATGGTGAACAAGGTAATATCTTCACATAAAAACTAGGCAGAATGTTTTGGAGAAACTGCTTTATCATATTTGCATTCATCTAACCAAGTTAAAAGTTTCTTTTCATTGAGTAGATTCGAAAATCTGTTCTTCTGTAATCTGCAAAGGGATATATGTGAGCTGTTTGAGGCCTATGGTGAAAAATGAAATATCTTCACATGAAAACTAGAAAGAAGATTTCTGAGAAACTTCTTTCTTTTGGCTGAGCAGAATGGAAACTCTCTCCCTGTGTAATCTGCAAAAGGATACTTATAAGCCCTTCTAGGCCTATGGTGAAAAAGGAAATACCTTCACATAAAAACCTGACAGAAGATTGCTGAGAAACTTCTTTGTGATGTGTGCATTCATCTCACAGAGGTAAACGTTTGTTGTCATTGAGCAGATTGGACACTCTGTTATTGTACAATCTGCAAATGGATATTCGTGAGGGCTTTGAGGCCTATGGTGAAAAAGGAAATATCTTCACTTGAAAACTTGACAGAAGTTTTGTGAGAAACATCTTTGTGATGTGTGCATTCATCTCATGGAGTTGAACTTTTTTTGATTGAGCAGTTTGGAAATAGTCTTATTGTAGAATCTGCAATGGGATAATGAGAGCTTTGAGGGCTATGGTGACAAAGGAAATATCTTCAATTAAAAACTAGACAGAAGGTTTCTGAGGAACTCCTATGTAATGTGTGCATTCATTTCACAGAGGTAAATGTTTCTTTTCATTGAGCACATTGAAACTCTGTTCTTGTAGATTGTGAAAAGGGATATTTGAGAGTGCTTTGAGGTGTATGGTGAAAAAGCATATATGTTCATATAAAAACAAGACAGAAGCATTCTGAGAAACTTCTTTGTGATGTGTGCATTCATCTCACAGAGTTGAACATTCCTTTTGATTGATCAATTTGGAACCTGTCGTTTTTTAGGATCTGCAAAGGGATATTTGTGAGTGCTTTGAGGCCTATGGTGAAAAAGGAAATATCTTCACATAAAAACTAGACAGAAGGTTTCTGAGAAACTGCTTTGTGATGTGTGGATTCATCTCACAGAGGTAAACTTTTCATTTTTCAAAAGGAAATATCTTCACATAAAAACTAGACAGAAGGTTTATGGGAAACTGCTTTGTGATGATTGCATTCATCTCACAGAGCTAAACGTTACTTTTGATTGAGCAGATTGGAAATTCTGTTCTTCTAGAATCTGCGAAGGTGTATTTGTGAGTGCTTTGAGACCTATGGTGAAAAATGAAATATCTTCACATAAAAACAAAACAGAAGCTTTCTGGGAAGCTTCTTTGTGATGTCTGCCTTCACCTCAAAGAGTTGAAACTTTCTTTTGATTGAGCAATTTGTAACAGTCTTTTTTAGAATCTGCAAAGGGATATTTGTGAGCACTTTGAGGTCTATGGTAAAAAAGGAAATATCTTCACATAAAAATTAGACAGAAACTTTCTGAGAAAGTTCTTTATGATGTGTGCATTCATCTCACAGAGTTAAATTTTTCTTTGATTGAGCAGTTTCAAAAGAGTCTTTTAGTAGAATCTACAACGGGAGACTTGTGAGTGCTTTGAAGCCTATGTTCAAAAAGGAAATATCGTCACATAAGATCTAGACAGAAATTTTCTGAGAAACTGCTTTGTGATGTGTGCATTCAACTCACAGAGTTGAACCTTTCTTTTGATTGAGCAGTTTGTAACATTCTTTTTTAGAATCTGCAAAGGGATATTTGTGAGCACTTTGAGGTCTATGGTGAAAAAGGAAATATCTTCACATAAAATCTAGACAGAAACTTTCTGAGAAAGTTCTTTATGATACTTGCATTCATCTCACAGAGTTAAATTTTTCTTTGATTGAGCAGTTTCAAAAGAGTCTTTTTGTAGAATCTGTCAAGGGATACTTGTGAGTGCTTTGAAGCCTATGTTCAAAAAGGAAATATCTTCACATAAAAACTAGAAAGAACATTTCTGAGAAACTGCTTTGTGATGTGTGCATTCATCTCACAGAAGTAAAAGTTTCCTTTCATTGAGCGGATTGGAAACTTTGTTCTTCTAGAATCTGCAAAGGGATATTTGTGAGTGTTTTCAGGCCTATGGTGAAAAAGGAAATACCTTCACAAAAAAACTGGACAGAAGATTTCTGAGAACCTGCTTTGTGATGTGTGCATTCATCTCACAGAGTTGTATTTTTCTATTCATTGAGCAGTTTGGAAACCTTCTTTTTGTAGAATCTGCAAGGGGATATTTTTGAGTGCTTTGAGGTCTATGGTGAAAAAGGAAATATCTACATATAAAAACTAAAGAGAAGATTTCTGAGAACCTGCTTTGTGATGGGTGCAGTCATCTGACATAGGTAAACATTTCTTTTCATTGAGAAGATTGGAATCTCTGTTCTTGTAGAATCTTCAAAGGGATATTTTGGCGTGCTTTGAGGCCTAGGGTGAAAAAGGAAATATCTTCACATATAAACTAGATAGAAGGTTTCTGAGAAACTGGTTTGTCAAGTGTGCCTTCATCTCACAGTGGTAAATGTTTCTTTTCATTGAGCAGATTTGAAACTCTGCTCTTGTAGACTCTGCAATTGGATATTTTTGACTGCTTTGAGACCTACGGTGAAAAAGGAAATATCTTCACATAAAAACTAGAAAGAAGTTCTCTGAGAAACTGCTTTGTGATGTGTGCATTCATCTCACAGAGATAAACGTTTCTTTTCTTTGAACAGTTTGGAAACTATGTTCTTCCAGCATGTGAAAAGGGATATTCGTGAATGCTTTGAGGCCTATGGTGGAAAAGTAAATATGTTAACATAACATATTTGTGATCTGTGCATTCATCTCGCACAAGTAAACATTTCATTTCATTGAGCAGTTTAGAAACTCTGTCTTTCTATAATCTGCAAAGAGATACACGTGAGTGCTTTGAGGCCTACGGTCAAAAAAGAAATATCTTCACATAAAAACTACAAAGAAGATTTCTGAGAAACTGCTTTGTGATGTATGCTTTCGTCTCAGAGAGTTGAACATTTCTTTTAATTGTGCAGTTTGCCAACAGTTTTTGGTAGAATCTGCAAAGGGATATTTGTGAGCGGTTTGAGGCCTATGATAAAAAATGAAATATCTTCACATAAAAACTAGACAGAAGGCTTCTGAGAAACTTTTTTGTAATGTTTGCATTCATCTCACAGAGTTGAACCTTTCTTTTGATTGAGCAGTTTGGAAACAGTCTTTGTGTAGACTCTGCAAAGGGATATTTGTGAGCACTTTGAGGCATATTGTGAAAAAGGAAATATCTTCACATAAAAACTAGACAGAAGCTTTCTGAGAAACTGCTTTGTGATGTGTGCATTCATCTCACAGAGGTAAAAATTTCTTTTCATTGAGTAGTTTGGAAACTTTGATATTGTACAATCTGTAAAGGGATATATGTGAGCCCTTTGAGTATTAGGGTGAAAAAGGAAATATCTTCACATAAACACTAGACAGAAGCTTCTGAGAGACTTCTCTGTGATGTGCATTCATCTCAAAGAGTTGCACCACTCTTTTGATTGAGCAGTTTGGAAACAGTCTTTTTGTAGATTCCACAAAGGTATATTTTGGAGCTCATTGCGGCCTATAGTGAAAAAGGAAATATCCTCACATATAAACTAGAAAGAAGCTTTCTGAGAAAGTCCTTTCTGATGCCTGCATTTATCTCACAGAGGTAAACATTTCTTTTCATTGAGCAGTTTGTAAACTCTGTTCTTCAAGAATCTGCAAAGGGATATTTATGAACGCTTTGAGTCCTATGGTCAAAAAGGAAACATCTTCACATTAAAACTAGAAAGAAGCTTTCTCAGGAAGTGCTTTGTGATGTGTGCATTCATCTTACAGAGGTAAACGTTTATTTTCATTGAGCAGCTTAGAAACTCAACTCCGTTCTCCTAGAATCTGCAAAGGAACATTTTGGAGTGCTTTGAGGCCTATGGTGAAAAAGGAAATATCATCGCATAGAAACTAGACAGAAGCTTTCTGAGAAACTCCTTTGTGATGTGTGCATTCATCTCACAGAGTTGAGTAATTCTTTTGATTGAGCAGTTTTGAAACAGTATTTTTGGAGAATCTGCAAAGGGATATTTTGGAACACCTTGAGGAGTATGGTGAAAAAGGAAATATCTTCACATAAAAAATGGAAAGAAGCTTTGTGAGAAACTGCTTTGTGAAGTGTGCATTTATCTCAAAGAGTTGAACCATTCTTTTGATTGAGCAGTTTGGAAGCAGTCCTTTTGTAGAATATGCAAGCGGATAATTGGGAGCACGTTGTGGCTTATGGTGATAAAGGAAATATCTTCACATAACAACTAGAAAGAAGTTTTCTGAGCAACTGCTTAGTGATGTGTGCATTCATCTCACAGAGGTAAACGAATCTTTTCATTGAGCTGTTGGAAACTCTTCTTCTGGAATCAGCAAAGGGATATATCTGAGTCCTTTGAGGCCTATTGTGGAAAAGTAAATATCTTCACTTAAGAACTAGACAGAAACTTTCTGAGAAACTTCTTTGTGATGTGTGCATTCATCTCCCAGAGTTGAGCCATTCTTTAGGTGGACCAGTTTGGAAACAATCTTTTTGTAGAATCTGCAAAGGGATATTTGGGAGCACTTTAAGACCTATGGTTAAAAAGGAAATATCTTTACATAAAAACTAGAAAGAAGCTTTCTGAGAAACTGCTTTGTGATGTGTGCATTCATCTCACAGAGTTGAACCATTCTTTTGACTGAGCAGGTTGGAAACAGTCTTTTTTTAGAATCTGCAAAGGCATATTTGTTAGTGCTTTGAGGCCTATGGTGAAAAAGGAAATATCATCACATAGAAACTAGACAGAAGCTTTCTGAGAAACTTGTTTGTGATGTGTGCAGTCATCTCAAAGAGTTGAACCATCACTTTGATTGAGCAGTTTGGAAACTGTCTTTCTGTGGAATCTGCAAAGGGATATTCGGGAGTGCATTGAGGCCTAAGGTGAAAAAGGAAATATCTTCACAAAAAAACTAAAAGGAATCTTTCTGAGAAACTGTGCATTTATCTCACATAGGTAAATTTTCTCTTCATTGAGCAGTTTGGAAACTCTGTTCTTCTAGAATCTCCAAAGGGATATTTGTGAGTGCTTTGATGCCTACGGCAAAAAGGGAAATATATTCACACAAAAACTACACAAAAGCTTTTGGAGAAACTTTTTTTTTTTTTTTTTTGAGATGGAGACTTACTCTATTCTCCAGACTGGATTGCAGTGGCACAATCTCGGCTCACTGCAAGCTCTGCCTCCCAGGTTCATGCCATTCTCCTTCCTCAGCCTCCCGAGTAGCTGGGACTACAGACACCCACCACCATGCCTAGCTAATTTTTTGTGTTTTTACTAGAGATGGGGTTTAACTGTGTTAGCGAGGATGGTCTTGATCACCTGACCTCATGATCCATCCGCCATGGCCTCCCAAAGTGCTTGGTTTACAGACATGAGCCACTGCACCTGGCCAAAAACTTCTTTTTAATGTGTGCATTCATCTCACAGAGTTCAAACATTCTTTAGATCGAGCACTTTCTGCAAACGGAGATTAGGGAGTGCTTTGAGGCCTATGGTGGAATAAGAAATATCTTCACATAAAAACTGGACAGAAGCATTCTGAAAATCTTCTCTGTGATGTGTGCATTCATCTCAGAGAGTTGAACCATAGTTTTGATTGAGCAGTTTGGAAAAAGTCTTTTTGTAGATTCCACAAAGGGATATTTTGGAGCTTGTTGAGGCCTATGGTGAAAAATGAAATATCCTCACATAAAAACTAGAAAGAAGCTTTCTGAGAAAGTGCGTTCTGATGCGTGCATTCATCTCACAGAGGTAAACGTTTCTTTTCATTGAGCAGTTTGTAAACTCTGTTCTTCAAGAATCTGCAAAGGGATATTTGTGAGCACATTGAGGCCTACGCTAAAAAAGGAAATATCTTCAAATAAAAACTAGAAAGAATCTTTCTGAGAAACTACTTTGTGATGTGTGCATTCATCTCAGAGAAGTAAAAGTTTCTTTTCAGAGAAGTAAAAGTTTCTTTTCATTGAGCAGTTTGGAAAGTCTGTTCTTCTAGAACTTGCAAAAGGATATTTTGGAGTGCTTTGAGGCCTATAGTGAAAAAGGAAATATCATCACATAGAAACTAGACAAAAGCTTTCTGAGAAACTCCTTTGTGATGTGTGGACTCATCTCACAGAGTTGAACCATTCTTTTGATTGAGCAGTTTGGAAACAGTCTTTTTGTAGAATCTGAAAAGGGATATTTGTGAGTGCTTTGAGGACTACAGTGAAAAAGGAAATATCTTCACATGAAAAGGAGAAAGAAGCTTTATGAGAAACTACTGTGTGATGTGTACATTCATCTCACCAAGGTAAACGTTTCTTTTCATTGAGCAGTTTGGAAACTCTGTTCTTCTAGGATCTCCAAAGGGATATTTTTGAGCACTTTTAGGCCGGTGGCAAAAAAAGAAATATCTTCACATAAAAACTAGACAGAAGCTTTCTGAGAAACTTCTTTGGGATGTGTGCATTCATCTCACAGAATTGAACCATTCTTTAGATTGACCAGTTTGGAAACAATCTTTTTGTAGAATCTGTGAAGGGATATTTGGGAGTGCTTTGAGGTTTATGGTGGAAAAGGAAATATCTTCACATGAAAACTAGAAAGAAGAATCAGAGAACCTTCTTTGTGATTTGGGCTTTCATCTCACTGAATTGAAACATATTTTTGACAGGGGAGTTTTGAAACAGGCTGTTTGTAGTATCTGCAAAGGGATATATGGGAGCATGTTGAATCCAATGGTGAAACAGGAAATATATTCACATAAAAATTACACAGAAGCTTTCTGTGGAACTTCTTTGTGATGAGTCCTTTCATCTCACAGAGTTGAAACCATTCCGTGATTGAGTATTTTGGAAACAGTCTTTTTGTACAATCTGCAAGGAGATATTGGGAGCTCTTTCAGACCTAAGCTGAAAAAGGTAATATCTTCACAAAAAAACTAGAAAGAAACTTTCTGAGAAACTGCTGTGTGATGCATGCATTCATCTCATAGATGTAATGGTTTCTTTTAATTGAGCAGTTTGGAAACTGTTGTCCTAGAGTCTGAAAATGGATTTTTGGGAGCATGTTGGGGCCTGTTGTGAAAAGTTAATATCTTCACATAAAAACCAGACAGAAGCTTTCTGGGAAACTTCTTTCTGATGTGTGCATTCATCTCACAGAGTTGAACCATTATTTTGATATAGCAGTTTGGAAACAGTCTTTTTGTTGAATCTGCAAAGGCATATTCAAGAGTGCACTGGGGCCTATGGTGAAAAAGGAAATATATTCACATAATAACTAGAAAGACGCTTTCAGAGAAACTTCTTTTTGATGACTGCATTCATCTCAGAGGTAAACTTTTCTTATCAGTTAGCAGTTTGGAAACTCTGTTCCTCTAGACTCTGAAAAAGGATATTTGTGAGCACTTTGAGACCTATGGTGAAAAAAAGGAATACTTTACATAAAAACTAGACAGAAGCTTCCTGAAAAACTTTTTTTGTGAGGTGTGAATTCTTCTCACAGAGCTGAATCATTCTTTCTATTGAGCAGTTTGGAAAGAGTCTTTTTGTAGAATCTGTAAAGGTATATTTGGGAGTGGGTTAAGGCCTACAGTGAAAAAGGAAATATCTTCACATAAAAACTAGAAAGAAGCTTTCTGATAAACTGTTTTCTGAGGAGTGCATTCATCTAACACAGGTCAACTTTTCATTTAGCCATTTGGAAACTCTGTTCTTCTAAAATCTACAAAGGGATATCTGTTAGC
The DNA here is from genome assembly GCF_000001405.40 of Homo sapiens. Taxonomy (NCBI): domain Eukaryota; kingdom Metazoa; phylum Chordata; class Mammalia; order Primates; family Hominidae; genus Homo; species Homo sapiens. Next base: position 37,811,689 of record NC_000012.12, read on the forward strand.
TCTTTGAGACCTAAGGTTCAATAAGAAATATCTTCACATAAGAACTAGACAGAAGCTTTCTGATAAACTTCTTTGTGATGCGTGCATTCATCTCACAGATTTGAACCATTGTATTGATTGACTAGTATGGAAACAGTCTTTTTGAAGAATCTGCACATGGATATTTGGGAGTGTGTTGAGGCGTATAGTTAAAAAGGAAATATCTTCTCATTAAAACTAGAGGGAAGCTTTCTGAGAAACTACTTTGTGATGTGTGCATTCATCTGAAAAAGTTGAACGTTTCTTTTCATTTATTAGTTTGGAATCTGTGTTCTTCTAGAGTCTGCAAAGAGATATTTGTGAGTGCTTTGATGGCTATGGTGAAAAGGAAGTATCGTGATGTAAAAACTAGACAGAAGCTTTCTGAGAAACTTATTTGTGATGAGTGCATTCATCTCACAGAGGTGAACCATTTTCTGATTGAACAGTTTGGAAACAGTCTTTTTTAGAAATGGCAAAATTATACTGGTGAGTGCTTTGAGGCCTATGGTGAAAAAGCAAATATCTTCACATAAAAACTGGAAAGAAGCTTTCTCAGAAACTGCTTTGTGACCTGTGCATTCATCTGACAGAGGTAAACGTTTCTTTTCAATGAGCAGTTTGGAAAAATCTGTTGTTCTAGCATCTTCAAAGGGATGTTTGTGAGTGCTTTGATTCCTATGGTGATTTAGGAAATATCTTCACATAAAAACTAGACAGAAGCTGTCTGAGAATCTTCAATGTGATGTGTGCATTTATTTGGCAGAGTTGAACCATTCTTTCATTTGAGCAGTTTGGAAACAGACTTTTTGTAGAATCTACAAAGGAATATTTGGGAGCACTTTGAGGCCTATGGTGAAAAAGGAAGTATCCTCTCTTAAAAATTAGAAAGAAGCTTTCTGAGAAACTAGTTTGTGATATGGACATTCATCTCACAGAGGTAAAGTTTTATTTTTATTGAGCAGCTTGGAAACTCTGTTTTTCTAGAATCTGCAAAGGGATATTTATGAGCACTTTCAGGCCTATGGTGAAAAAGTAAATGTCTTCACATAAAAGTAGAAAGAAACTTACTGAAAACTTCTTTGTGATGTGTGCATTCATCTCACAGGGTTGAACCATTCTTTTGATTGAGCATTTTGGAAACCCTATTTTGTAGAATCTGCAAAGGGATAATTGTGAGCACTTTGAGCCTATGGTGAAAAAGGAAATATCTTCACATAAAAAGTAGAAAGAAGTGTTCTGAGAAACTTATTTGTGATCTGTGCATTCATCTCGCTTAAGTAAACGTTTATTTTCTTGGAACAGTTTGGAAATTTTTTTCTTCTAGAAGCTGCAGAGGGGTAGTTTTGAGCACTTTGAGGCCTAAGGTGAAAAGTAAATATCTTCACATGAAAACTAGGCAGAAACTTTCTGAGAAACTTCTTCATGACATGTGCATTCATCTCATAGAGTTGAACCATTCTTTTGACTGAGCAGTTTGGAAATCGTCTTTTTGTAAGATCTACAAAGGGATATTTGGAAGCCCTTAGAGGCTTATGATGAAAAAGGAAATGTCTTCACATAAAAACTACACACAATCTTTCTGAGAAAATGCTTTGTAATGTTTGCATTCATCTCATAGATGTAAACGTTTCTTTTCATTAAGCTGTTTGGAATCTTTGTTCCTCTGGGATCTGCAAAGCAATATTTGTCAGCACTTTGAATCCAAGTGTGAAAAAGGAAATATCTTCACATAAAAACTAGACAGAAAGTTTCTGAGGAACTTATTTGTGATGTGTGCATTCCTCTGACAGTGCCGAACAGTTCTTTTGTTTGAGAAGTTTGGAAACAGTCTTTTTGTAGAATCTACAAAGGTATATTTTGGAGCACTTTGAGGCCTATGGTGAGAAAGGAAATATCTTCATATGAAACCTAGAAAGAAGCTTTCTGAGAAACTGTTTTGTGATGTGTGCATTCATCTCACAGAGTTAAACATTTCTTTTGATTGAGCAGTTTGGAAACTCTGTTCTTTTTTTTTTTTTTTTTAATTTATTTTTTTATTGATAATTCTTGGCTGTTTCTCACAGAGGGGGATTTGGCAGGGTCATGGGACAATAGTGGAGGGAAGGTCAGCAGATAAACAAGTGAACAAAGGTCTCTGGTTTTCCTAGGCAGAGGACCCTGCGGCCTTCCGCAGTGTTTGTGTCCCTGATTACTTGAGATTAGGGAGTGGTGATGACTCTTAACGAGCATGCTGCCTTCAAGCATCTGTTTAACAAAGCACATCTTGCACCGCCCTTAATCCATTTAACCCTGAGTGGACACAGCACATGTTTCAGAGAGCACAGGGTTGGGGGTAAGGATCCCAAGGCAGAGGAATTTTTCTTAGTGCAGAACAAAATGAAAAGTCTCCCATGTCTACTTCTTTCTACACAGACACGGCAACCATCCGATTTCTCAATCTTTTCCCCACCTTTCCCGCCTTTCTATTCCACAAAGCCGCCATTGTCATCCTGGCCCGTTCTCAATGAGCTGTTGGGCACACCTCCCAGACGGGGTGGTGGCCAGGCAGAGGGGCTCCTCACCTCCCAGTAGGGGTGGCCTGGCAGAGGCGCCCCTCACCTCCCGGACGGGGCGGCTGGCCGGGCGGGGGGCTGAACCCCCACCTCCCTCCCGGACGGGGCGGCTGGTCGGGCAGAGGGGCTCCTCACTTCCCAGTAGGGGCGGCCGGGCAGAGGCGCCCCTCACCTCCCGGACGGGGCGGCTGGCCGGGCGGGGGGGCTGACCCCCCCCACCTCCCTCCCGGACGGGGCGGCTGGCCGGGCGGGGGGCTGAACCCCCACCTCCCTCCCGGACGGGGCGACTGGCCGGGCGGGGGGCTGACACCCCCAACTCCCTCCCGGACCGGGCGGCTGGCCGGGCTGAGGGGCTCCTCACTTCCCAGTAGGGGCGGCCGGGCAGAGGCGCCCCTCACCTCCCAGACGGGGCGGCTGGCCGGGCGGAGGGCTGACCCCCCCACCTCCCTCCCGGACGGGGCGGCTGGCCAGGCGGTGGGGCTGACCCCCCATCTCCCTCCCGGACGGGGTGGCTGGCCGGGTGGGGGGGCTGACCCCCCCATCTCCCTCCCGGACGGGGCGGCTGGCCGGGCCAATGGGCTCCTCACTTCCCAGTAGGGGCGGCCGGGCAGAGGCGCCCCTCACCTCCCGGACGGGGCGGCTGGCCGGGCGGGGGGCTGACCCCCCCACCTCCCTCCCGGACGGCACGGCTGGCCGGGCGGGGGGGCTGACCGCCCACCTCCCTCCCGGATGGGGCGGCTGGCCGGGCGGGGGGCTGACCCCCCCCACCTCCCTCCCGGACAGGGTGGCTGCCGGGCGGAGACGCTCCTCACTTCCCAGATGGGGTGGCTGCTGGGCGGAGAGGCTCCTCACTTCTCAGATGGGGCAGCTGCCGGGCGGAGGGGCTCCTCACTTCTCAGACGGGGTGGTTGCCAGGCAGAGGGTCTCCTCACTTCTCAGACGGGGCGGCCGGGCAGAGACGCTCCTCACCTCCCAGACGGGGTCTCGGCCGGGCTGAGGCGCTCCTCACATCCCAGATGGGGCGGCGGGGCAGAGGCGCTCCCCACATCTCAGACGATGGGCGGCCGGGCAGAGACGCTCCTCACTTCCTAGATGTGATGGCGGCTGGGAAGAGGCGCTCCTCACTTCCTAGATGGGATGGCGGCCGGGCGGAGACGCTCCTCACTTTCCAGACTGGGCAGCCAGGCAGAGGGGCTCCTCACATCCCAGATGATGGGCGGCCAGGCAGAGACACTCCTCACTTCCCAGACGGGGTGGCGGCCGGGCAGAGGCTGCAATCTCGGCACTTTGGGAGGCCAAGGCAGGCGGCTGGGAGGTGTAGGTTGTAGTGAGCCAAGATCACGCCACTGCACTCCAGCCTGGGCACCATTGAGCACTGAGTGAACGAGACTCCGTCTGCAATCCTGGCACCTCGGGAGGCCGAGGTTGGCGGATCACTCGCGGTTAGGGGCTGGAGACCGGCCCGGCCAACACAGCGAAACCCCGTCTCCACCAAAACCAGTCAGGCGTCGCGGCGCATGCCTGCAATCGCAGGCATTCGGCAGACTGAGGCAGGAGAATCAGGCAGGGAGGTTGCAGTGAGCCGAGATGGCAGCAGTACAGTCCAGCTTCGGCTCCGCATGAGAGGGAGACCGTGGAGACGGAGAGGGAGAGGGAGAGGGAGAGGGAGAGGGAGAGGGAGAGGGAGACGGAAACTCTGTTCTTGTAGAATCTGCAAAGGGATATTTTGGAGAACTTTGAGGCCTATGGTTAAAAAGGAAATATCTTCGCATAAAAACTATACAGAAGCACTCTGAGAAACTTCTTTTTGGTGTGTGCATTCGTCTCACAGAGTTGAACCATCTTTTTGATTGAGCAGTTTGGAAACAGTCTTTTTGTAGAATACACAAACAGATATTTATGAGTGCTTTGAAGTCTATGGTGGAAAAGGAAATATCTTCACATAAAAACTAGAAGGATGCTTTCTGAGAGAATGCTTTGTAATGTGTGCATTCATCTCACAGAGTTTGACCATTCTTTTGATGGAGCCGTTTGGAACCACTTTTTTTTAGAATCTGCAAAGGGATATTTGGGAGCCCTTTGAGTCTTATGGTGGGAAAGGAAATACGCTCACATGAAAATTAGAAAGGAGATTTCTGAGAAACTTCTTTGTGATATGTGTATTCATCTCACAGAGTTAAAACTTTCTTTTGATGGAATATTTTGGAAACACCGTTTTTGTAGAATCTGCAAATGGATATTTCCAAGCGCTTTCAGGCCCGTGGTGAAAAAGGAAGTATCTTCAACTAAAAACTCGACTGAAACTTTCTGAGAAACTGCTTCATGATGTGTGCATTCCTCTCACAGAATTGAACCATTCTTTTGACTGAGCAGTTTGGAACCACTGTTTTCCTAGAATCTGCAAAGGGATATTTGTAAGCACTTTGAGGTCTCTGGTGAAAAAGGAAATATCCTCACATAAAAACTAGAAAGGAGCTTTCTTAGAAACTTCTTTGTTATCTATGCATTTATCTCACAGAATTCAACCATTCTTTTGATTGAGCAGTTTGGAAACACAGTGTTTGAAGGATCTGCAAAGGGATATTTGTATTCACCTTGAGGCCTATAAGGAAAAAGGAAATACCTTCTGATACAAACTAGACAGAAACTTTCTGAGAGATGACTTTGTGATGTGTGCATTCGTCACACGGAGTTAAACATTTCTTTTTATTGAGCATTTTGTAAACTCTTCTAGAATCTGCAAAGGGCTATTTGTTAGTGCATTGAGGCCTATGGTGAAAAAGGAAATATCTTCCGATACAAACTAGAAACAGATTTTCTGAGAAACTGCTTTGTGGTGTGTGCATTTACATCACAAAGTTGAACAATTCTTTTGATTTGAGCAGTTTGGAAACAGAGTGTTTGTAGAATATGCAAAGGGATATTTGGATTTGCATGGAGACCTGTGTTTAAAAAGGAAATATCTTCCAATACAAGCTAGACTGAAGCTTTCTAAGAGAATGTTTTGTAATGTGTACATTCATCCCACAGAGTTAAACTTTTTTTTTTCATTGAGCAGTTTGGAAACTCTGATCTTCCAGAATCTCCAAAGGGATATTTGGGAGCATATTAAGGCCTATGGTGAAAAAGGAAATGTCTTCCAATACAAACTAGAAAGAGAGTTTCTGAGGAACTGCTTTGTGATGTGTGCATTCATCTCAAGGAGTTGAACCATTGTTTTGGTTAAGCAGTTTGGAAATACAGTGTTTGTAGAATATGTGAAGGGATATTTGGATTCCCATGGAGGCCTGTAGTGAAAAAGGAAATATCTTCTGATACAAGCTAATCAGAAGCTTTCTAAGAGAATGCTTTGTAAAATGTGCATTCATCCAACAGAGTTAAATGTTTCTTTTCATTGAGCAGTTTGTAAACTCTGTTATTCCAGAATCTCCAAAGGGATATTTGGGAGCGCATTGAGGCCTATGGTGAAAAAGGAAATATCTTCTGATACAAACTAGAAAGAGAGTTTCTGAGGAACTGCTTTGTATGTGTGCATTCATCTCAAGGAGTTGAACCATTCTTTTGGTTGAGCAGTTTGGAAACACAGTGTTTGTAGAATCTTTGAAGGGATATTTTGATTCGCATGGAGGCCAGTGGTGAAAAAGGAAATATCTTCTGAAACAAACTAGACACAAGATTTCTGAGAGACTGCTTTGTGATGTGTGCATTCATCTCACAGAGTTGAACCATTCTTTGATGGAGCAGTCTGTTTTTGTAGAATCTGCAAAGCTATATTTTAGAGCCCTTTGAGTCTTATGGTGAGAAAGGAAATATACTCACATAAAAACTTGAAAGGACCTTGCTGATAAACTTCTTTATGATATGTGCCTTCATCTCAAAGATTTAAAACTTTCTTTTGATGGAGCAATTTCGAAACACCTTTTTTGTAGTATCAGCAAAGGGATATTACTGGGCACTTTCTGGCCTATGTTGAAAAAGGAAATATCTACACCTAAAAAGTTGAAAGAAGTTTTCTGAGAAACTGCTCTGTAATGTGTGCAATCCTCTCAAAGGGTTGAACCATTCTTTTGATTGAGCAGTTTATACCCTCTGTTTTTCTAGAATCTGCAAATGGATATTTGTGTTTTGAGGTCTATGGTGAAAAAGGAAATCTCCTCACATAAAAACTAGAAAGGAGCTTTCTTAGAAACTGCTTTGTGATCTGTGAGTTTATCTCACAGAGTTAAATGATTCTTTAAATTGAGCATTTTGGAAACACAGTGTTTGAAGAATCTGCAAAGGGATATTTGGATTCACCTTGAGGCCTAAGAGGAAAAAGGAAATATCATCTGATACAAAACAGAAGCTTTCTGAGAGACTGCTTTGCTATTTATCCCACAGAGTTAAATGCTTCTTTTCATTGAGCAGTTTGGAAACTCTGTTCTTCTAGAATCTGCAAAGGGATATTTGGGAGCACATTGAGGCCTAAAGTGAAAAAGAAAATGTCTTCACATAAAAGCTAAAAAGAAGCTTTCTGAGAATCTGCTTTGAGATGTGTGCGTTCATCTCACAGAGGTAAAAGTTTCTTTTCACTAAGCAGTGTGGAAACACAGTGTTGGTAGAATCTGTGAAGGCATATTTGGATTCACATGGAGGCCTGTGGTGATAAAGGGAATATATTCTGATACAAACTAGACATTAACTTTCTGAGAGACTGCTTTGTGACGTGTGCATTCATCTCACAGAGTTGAACCATTCTTTGATGTAGCAGTTTGGAACCAGTTTTTGTAGAATCTGCAAACGGATGTTGGGAGCCCTTTGAGTCTCATGGTGAAAAAGGAAATACCCTGACATAAAAACTAGAAAAGAGATTTCTGAGAAACTGCTTTGTGATATGTGCATTTATCTCCCAGAGTTAAAACTTTCTTTTGATGGAGCATCTTGAAAACACCGTTTTTGTAGTATCTGCCTAGGGATATTTCAGAGTGCTTTCAGGCCTATGCTGAAAAAGGAAATATCTTCACCTAAAAACTCAAAGAAAGCATTCTGAGACACTGCTTTGTGATGTGGGCATTGTTCTCACAGAGTTGAGCCATTCTTTTGATTGAGCAGTTTGGAAACACAGCGTTTTAAGAATCCGCAATGGGATATTTGGATTCACATGAAGACCTGTTTTGTAAAAGTAAATATCTTCCAATATAAACTACATGGAAGCTTTCTGAGAGAATGCTTTGTAATGTGTGCATTCATCCAGAGAGTTCAAAGTTTCTTTCATTAGCAGTGTGGAAGCACTTCTTCTTCTAGAATCTGCAAAAGGATATTTGGGAGCCCATTGAGGCCTATGGTGAAAAAGGAAATATCTTATTATGCAAACTAGAAAGAGAGTTTCTGAGAAACTGCTTTGTGGTGTGTGCATTCATCTCACAGAGTTGAACTATTCGTTTGATGTAGCATTTTGGAACCACTGTTTTTGTAGATTCTGCAAAGGGATAATTGGGAGCCCATTGAGTCTTATGGTGAAAAAGGAAATATCCTCCTATAAAAACTAGAAAGCAGCTTTCTGAGAAACTGCTTTGTGATATATGCATTCATCTCACAGAATTAAAACTTTCTGTTGATGGAGCATTTTGGAAACACCGTTTTTGCAGAATCTGCAAAGGGATTTTTCAGAGCGCTTTCTGGCCTCTGGTGAAAAAGGAAATATCTTCACCTAAAAACTCGAAGGAAGCTTTCTGAGAAACTGCTTCATGATGCGTGCATTCCTCTCACAAAGTTGAACCATTCTTTTGACTTAGCAGTGTAGAACCATTGTTTTTCTAGAATCTGCAGAGGGTTATTTGTGAGCGCTTTGAGGTCTATGGTGAAAAAGGATAAATCCTCACATTAAAACTGGAAAGGAGCTTTCTTAGAGACTACTTTGTGTTCTGTGTGTTCATCTCACAGAGTTAAACCATTCTGTTGATTGATCAGTTTGGAAACACAGTGTTTGAAGTATCTGCGAAGGGATATTTGGATTCACCTTGATGACTATGCAGAAAAAGTAAATATCTTCTGATACAAACTAGACTGAAACAGTCTGAGAGACTGCTTTGTGATGTGTGCATTCATATCACAGAGTTAAACTTTTCTTTTCATTGAGCAGTTTGGAAACTCTGTTCTTCCAAAAACTGCAAAGGGACATTTGGGAGCAATTTAAGGTTTATGGTGTAAAAGGAAATATACTCACATAAAAACTAGAACGGAGCTTTCTTAGAAATTGCTTTGTGATCTGTGTGTTCATCTCACAGACTTAAACCATTCTTTTGATTGAGCAGTTTGGAAACACAGTGTTTGTAGAATCTGCGAAGGGATATTTCATTTCCCATGGAGGCTTGTAGTCAGAAAGGAAATACTTTCTGATACAAACTAGACAGAATCCTTCAGAAAGAATGCTTTGTAATGTGTGCATTCATCTCACAGAGTTAAACATTTCTTTTAATTGAGCAGTTTGGAAACTCAGTTCTTCTAGAATCTTCAAAGGGATATTTGGGAGTGCACTGAAGCCTCTGGCAAAAAAGGAAATATCATCTGATAGAAACTAGGAAGAGAGTTTCTGAGAAACTGCTTTTTGATATATGCATTCATTTCACAGAGTTGAACAATTCTTTTGACTGAGCAGCTTGGAAACACAGTGATTGTAGAACCTGCAAAGGGATATTTGGATTCACATGGAGGCCTGTGGTGAAAAAGGAAATGTCTTCTGATACAAACTAGAGAGAAGCTTTCTGAGAGACTACTTTGTGATGTGTGCATTCATATCACAGTGTTGAACCATTCTTTTGATGGAGCAGTTTGGAACCACTGTTTTTGTAGACTCTTCAAAGTGATATTTGGGAGCCCTTTGAGTCTTATGGTAAAAAAGGAAATATCCTCACATAAAAAGAAGAAAGAAGCTTCCTGAGAAAATGCTTTGTGATGTGTGCATTCATCTCACAGAGTTAAAACTTTCTTTTAATGGAACACTTTGGAAACCCCATTTTTGTAGAATCTGCAAAGGGATATTTCAGATCGCTTCCAAGCCTATGGAGGAAAAGGAAATATCTTCACTTAAAAAAATCATAGGAAGCGTTCTGAGAAACTGCTTCAAGATATGTGCATTCCTCTCATAGAGTTGAACCATTCTTTTGGTTGAGAAGTTTGGAAACACTGTTTTTCTAGAATCTGCAAATAGATTTTTGTGAGTGCTTTGAGATCTATGGTGAAAAAGGAAATATCCTCACATAAAAACTAGAAAGGAGCTTTCCTAGAAACTGCTTTGTGATCTGTGCATTCATATCACAGAGTTGAAGCATAATTTTGATTGAGCAGTTTGGAAACACAGTGTTTGTAGAATCTGTGAAGGGATATTTGGATTCACCTTGTGTCCTATGGGGAAAAAGGAAATATCTTCTGATACATACTACAGAGAAGCTTTCTGAGAGACTGCTTTGCAATGTGTGCATTCATCTCAAAGAGTTAAAAGTTTCTTTTCATTGAGCAGTTTGGAAACTCTGTTCTTCTAGAACCTGTAAAGGGATATTTGGGGGAGCATTGAGGCCTATGGTGAAAAAGAAAATATTTTCTGATACACACTAGAAAGACAGTTTCTGAGAAACTGCTTTGAGATGTGTGCATTCATCTCACAGAGTTGAATGATAATTTTGATAGAGCAGTTTGGAAACACAGTGTTTATAGAATCTGTGAAAGGGTATTTGGATTCGCTTTGAGGGCTATGGGGAAAAAGGAAATATCTTCTGATACAAACTATAGAGAAGATTTCTGACAGACTGCTTTGTGATGTGTGCATTCATTTAACAGAGTTAAACATTTCTTTTCTTTGAGCAGTTTAGAAACTCTTTTCTTTTAGAATCTGCAAAGGGATATTTGGGAATGCATTGGGGCCTATGGTGAAAAAAGAAATATCTTCCGATATAAACTAGAAAGAGAGTTTCTGAGAAACTGCTTTGTAATCTGTGTGCTTTTATCTCACAGAAATGAACCATTATTTTGATTGAGCAATTTGGAAACACATTATTTGTAAAATCTGCAAAGGGATATTTGGATTCACATAGAGGCCTGCAGTTGAAAAGGAAATAACTTCCAACACAAACTAGACAGAAGCTTTCTGAGAGACTACTTTGTGATGTGTGCATTCATCTCACAGATTTGAACCATTCTTTTGAGGGAGCAGTTTTGAACCACTACTTTTGTAGAATCTGCAAAGGGATATTTGGGAGCCCTTTGAGTCTTAGGTTGGAAAAGGAAATATCCTCACATAAAAACAAGCAAGGATCTTTCTGAAAAACTGCTTCATGATATGTGCATTCATCTCACAGAGTTGAAACTTTCCTTTCATGGAGCATTTTGTAAACACCGTTTTTGTAGAATCTGCAAAGCGATATTTTGGAAAGTTTCAGGCGTATGGTCAAAAAGGAAATGTCTTCACCTAAAAACTCGAAGAATGCTTTTTGAGAAACTGCTTTATCATGTGTGCATTCCTCTCACGGAGTTGAACCTTTCCTTTAATTGAGCAGTTTAGAACCACTGTTTTTCTAGAATCTGCAAATGGATATTTGTGAGCGTTTTGAGGTCTATGGTGAAAAAGGAAATATCCTCACATAAAAAGTAGGAAGGAGCTTTCTTAGAAACTGCTTTGTGATCTGTGCATTCATCTCAGAGTTAAACCATTCTTTTGATAGAGCAGTTTGGAAAAGAGTGTTTGAAGTATCTGTGAGGGGATATTTCAATTTGCCTTGAGGCCTGTGGGGCAAAAGGAAATATCTTCTGCTACAAACTGGACAGAAGCTTTCTGAGAAATGGCTGTGCAATGTGTGCATTCACCTCACAGATTTAAACGTTTCTTTTCATTGAGCAGTTCAGAAACTCTCTTCTTCTGGAAACTGCAGAGGGATATTTGGAAGTGCATTGAGGCTTATGTTGAAAAAGGAAATATCTTCTGATACATACTGGAAAGAGAGTTTCTGAGAAACTGCTTTGGGATGTGTGCATTCATCTCACAGAGTTGTACTATTTTTTTTATGGAGCAGTTTGGAGCCACTGTTTTCCTTTTTTTTTTTTTTGTTTTGCCCTGATTATATTTATTATTATTATTATTATTATTATTATTATTATACTTTAAGTTTTAGGGTACATGTGCACAATATACAGGTTAGTTACATATGTATACATGTGTCATGCTGGTGCGCTGCACCCACTAACTCATCCTCTAGCATTAGGTATATCTCCCAATGCTATCCCTCCCCCCTCCCCCTAACCCACAACAGTCCCCAGAATGTGATGTTCCCTTTCCTCTGTCCATGTGTTCTCATTGTTCAATTCCCACCTATGAGTGAGAATATGTGGTGTTTGGTTTTTTGTTCTTGCGATAGTTTACTGAGAATGATGATTTCCGATTTCACCCATGTCCCTACAAAGGACATGAACTCACCATTTTTTATGGCTGCATAGTATTCCATGGTGTATATGTGCCACATTTTCTTAATCCAGTCTATCATTGTTGGACATTTGGATTGGTTCCAAGTCTTTGCTATTGTGAATAATGCCGCAATAAACATACGTGTGCATGTGTCTTTATAGCAGCATGATTTATAGTCCTTTGGGTATATACCCAGTAATGGGATGGCTGGGTCAAATGGTATTTCTAGTTCTAGATCCCGGAGGAATCACCACACTGACTTCCACAGTGGTTTAACTAGTTTACAGTCCCACCAACAGTGTAAAAGTGTTCCTATTTCTCCACATCCTCTCCAGCACCTGTTGTTTCCTGACTTTTTAGTGATTGCCATTCTAACTGGTATGAGATGGTATCTCATTGTGGTTTTGACTTGCATTTCTCTGATGGCCAGTGATGATGAGCATTTTTTCATGTGTTTTTTGGCTGCATAAATGTCTTATTTTGAGAAGTGTCTGTTCATGTCTTTCGCCCACTTTTTGATGGGGTTGTTTGTTTTTTTTCTTGTAAATTTGTTTGAGTTCATTGTAGATTCTGGATATTAGCCCTTTGTCAGATGAGTAGGTTGCGAAAATTTTCTCCCATTTTGTAGGTTGCCTGATCACTCTGATGGTAGTTTATTTTGCTGTGCAGAAGCTCTTTAGTTTAATTAGATCCCATTTGTCAACTTTGGCTTTTGTTGCCATTGCTTTTGGTGTTTTAGACATGAAGTCCTTGTCCATGTCTATGTCCTGAATGGTAATGCCTAGGTTTTCTTCTAGGGTTTTTATGGTTTTAGGTCGAAGGTTTAAGTCTTTAATCCATCTTGAATTAATTTTTGTATAAGGTGTAAGGAAGGGATCCAGTTTCAACTTTCTACATATGGCTAGCCAGCTTTCCCAGCATCATTTATTAAATAGGGAATCCTTTCTCCATTGCTTTTTTTCTCAGGTTTTTCAAAGATCAGATAGTTGTAGATATGTGGTGTTATTTCTGAGGGTTCTGCTCTGTTCCATTGGTCTATATCTCTGTTTTGGTACCAGTAGCATGCTGTTTTGGTTACTGTAGCCTTGTAGTGTAGTTGGAAGTCAGGTAGTGTGATGCCTCCAGCTTAGTTCTTTTGGCTTAGGATTGACTTGGCGATGCATGCTCTATCATACTGAATGGGCAAAAGCTGGAAGCATTCCCTTTGAAAACTGGCACAAGACAGGGATGCCCTCTCTCACCACTCCTTTTCAACATAGTGTTGGAAGTTCTGGCCAGGGCAATTAGACAGGAGAAGGAAATAAAATTTATTCATTTAGGAAAAGAGGAAGTCAAATTGTCCCTGTTTGCAGACGACATGATTGTATATCTAGAAAACCCCATTGTCTCAGCCCAAAATCTCCTTAAGCTGATAAGCAACTTCAGCAAATTCTCAGGATACAAAATCAATGTACAAAAATCACAAGCATTCTTATACACCAACAACAGAGAAACAGAGAGCCAAATCATGAGTGAACTCCCATTCACAATTGCTTCAAAGAGAATAAAATACCTAGGAATCCAACTTACAAGGGATGTGAAGGACCTCTTCAAGGAGAACTACAAACCACTGCTCAAGGAAATAAAAGAGGATACAAACAAATGGAAGATCATTCCATGCTCATGGGTAGGAAGAATCAGTATCATGAAAATGGCCATACTGCCCAAGGTAATTTACAGATTCAATGTCATCCCCATGAAGCTACCAGTGACTTTCTTCACAGAATTGGAAAAAACTACTTTAAAGTTCATATGGAGCCACTGCTTTTCTAGAATCTGCAAAGGGATATTTGGGAGTGCTTTGAGTCCAATGGTGAAAAAGGAAATGTCTTCCAATACAAACTAGAAAGGGAGTTTCTGAGAAACTGATTTGTGATGTGTGCATTCATCTCACAGAGTTGAACCATTCTTTTGATGGAGCAGTTTGGAAACACAGTGTTTGTAGAATCTGTGAAAGGATATTTGGATTTGCATGTAGGCCAGTGGTGAAAAAGGAAATATCTTCCAATACAAACTAGACAGAAGTTTTCTGAGAGAATGCTTTGTAATGTGTGCATTCATCCTACAGGTTAAACGTTTCTTTTCATTGACCAGTTTGGAATCTCTGATCTTCTAGAATCTGCAAAGGGATATTTGGGAGCACATTGAGGTCTACGGTGAGAAAGGAAATATCTTCTGATACAAACCAGAAAGAGAGATTCTCAGAAACTGCTTTGAGATGTGTGCATTCATCTCACATAGTTGAACCACACTTTTGATGGAGCAGTTTAGAGCCACTCTTTTTGTAGAATCTGAAAATGGATATTTGGGAGCCCTTTGAGTCTTATGGTGAAAAAGAAATATCCTTACATAAAAACTAGAAAGGAGATCTCTCATAAACTGCTTTGTGATATTTGCATTTATCTCACAGAATTAAAACCTTCTTTTGATGGAGCATTTTGGAAACACCATTTTTGTAGAATCTGCAAAGGGATATTTTGGAGAACTTTCATGCCTATAGTGATAAAGGAAATATCTTCACCTAAAAACTCGAAGGAAGCTTTCTGAGAAACTGCTGTGTGGTATGGGCATTCCTCTCACAGAGTTGAACCATTCTTTTGATTGAGCAGTTTGGAACCACTGTTTTTCTAGAATCTGCCAAGGGATATGTATGAGTGCTTTGAGGTCTGCAGTAAAAAAGTCCATATCCTCATATAAAAACTAGAAAGGAGCTTTCTTAGAAACAGCTTTGTGATCTTTGCATTCATCTCACTGAGTTAAACCATTCTTTTGTTTGAATAGTTTGGAAACACAGTGTTTGAAGAATCTGCTAAGGGATATTTGGATTCGCCTTGAGGCCTATGGAGAAAAAGGAAATATCTTCTGATACTAACTAGACAGAAGCTTTCTGAGAGACTGCTTTGAGATGAGTGCATTCACCTCACAGAGTTTAACATTTCTTTTCACTTGAGCAGTTTGGAAACTCTGTTCTTCTAGAATCTGCAAAGGGATATTTGGGAGCATGTTGAGGCCTATGGTGAAAAAGGGAAATATCCTCTGATACAAACTAGAAAGAGAGTTTCTGAGAAACTGCTTTGTGACGTGTGCATTCACCTCACAGGGTTGAAACATTTCTTTATTGAGCAGTTTGGAAATAAGAGTTTTTGTGGAATCTCTCAAGGGATATTCAGATTTGCATGGAGGCCAGTGGTGTAAAAGGAATTATCTTCCAATAAAAACTAGACAGAGGCTTTCTGAGAGAATGCTTTGTGATGTGTGCATTCATCTCACAGAGTTGAACCATTCTTTTGATGGAGTCGTTTGGAACCACTGTTTTTGTACAATCTGAAAAGGGATATTTGGGAGCAGTTTGAGTCTTTTGGTGAAAAATAAAATATCTCCACATAAAAACTAGAAAGGACATTTATGAGAAACTGCTTTGTGATATGTATATTCATCTCACAGAGTTAAAAGTTTCTTTTAATGGAGCATTTTGGAAACACCGTTTTAGTAGAATCTGCAAAGGGATATTTTGGAGCCCTTTCCTGGCTATGGTGAAAAAGGAAATATCGTCACCTAAAAACTCGAAGGAAGCTTTCTGAGAAACTGCTTTGTGATGTGTGCATTCCCCTCACAGAATCAAACCATTCTTTTGATTGAGCAGTTTGGAACCACTGTTTTTCTAGAATCTGCAAAGGGATATTTGTGAGTGCTTTGAAATCTATGGTGAAAACGGAAATATCTTGTGATACAAACTAGAAAGAGAGTTTCTGAGAAACTGCTCTGTGATGTGTGCATTCATCTTACAGAGTTGAACCTTTATTTTGATTGAGCAGTTTGGAAACAGTCTTTTTCTAGAATCTGCAAGGGGATATTTGGGAGCGCATTGAGGCCCATGGTGAAAAAGTTAATATCTTCTGATACAAACTCGAAACAAAGATTCTGAGAAATTGCTTTGTGATGTGTGCATTCATCTCACAGAGTTTAACCATTTTTTAATTGAGCATTTAGGAAACACAGTATCTGTAAAATCTGTGAAGGTATATTTAGATTCCCCTTAAGTCCTATGGTGACAAAGGAAATACCTTCTGATTCAAACTAGAAAGAAGCTTTCTGAGGATCCACTTTGTGATGTGGGCATTCCTCTAACAGAGTTGAACCATTATTTTGATTAAGCAGTTTGGAACCACTGTTTTCCTAGAATCTTCAAAGGGATATTTTTGAGTTCTTTGAGGCCTATGGTGAAAAAGGAAATATTCTCACATAAAAACTAGAAACAAGCTTTCTTGGGAACTGCTTTGTTTAGTGTGTATTCGTCTCACAGCATTAGACCTTTCTTTTCATTGAGCAGCTTGGAAACTGTTCTTCTAGAATCTGCAAAGGGATATTTGGGAGCTCATTGAGGCCTATGATGAAAAAGGAAATACATTCTGATACAAAGTAGAAAGAAAGTTTCTGAGAAATTGCTTTGTGATGTGTGCATTGGTCTCACAGAGTTTAACAAATCTTTTGATTTAGCAGTTTGGAAACTGTTTGTAGACTGCAATGGGATATTTGGATTCGCATGAAGCCTTTTTTAACAAAGGAAACATCTTCTGATACAAACTAGACAGAAGCTTTCTGAGGAACTGCTTTGTGATGTGTGCATTCCTCTCACAGAGATGAAGCTTGCTTTTTATTGAGCAATTTGGAATCACTGTTCTTGTAGAATCTGCAAAGTGATATTTGGGAGCATTTTGAGGCCTATGTTGAAAAAGGAAATATCTTCACATAAAAACTAGAAAGAACCTTTCTGAGAAAATGCTTTGCGATGTGTGCATTCCTCTAACAGACTTGAACTGTTCTTTGGAGTGAATAGTTTGGAACCACTGGCTTTCTACAGTCTGAAAAGGAATATTTGTGAGCATTTTGAAGCCTATGCTGAAAAAGGAAATATCCTCACATAAACACTAGAAAGGAGCTTTCTTAGAAACTGCTTTGTGGTGTGTGCATTCGTTTCACAGAGTTCAACATTTCTCTTCATTGAGCAACTTGGAAACTCTATTCTTCTTGAATCTGCAAAGGGATATTTGCAGTGTCTTGAGGCCTATGGCAAAAAAGGAAATACCTTCTGATACAAACTAGAAAGAAAGTTTCTGAGAAATTGCTTTCTGATACGTGCATTCTTATCACAGAGCTTAACCCCCTTTTTGATTGAGCTGTTTGGAAACACAGTGCTTGTAGAAACTGCGAACAGGTGTTTAGATTCGCCTTGAGGCCTATGGTGACAAAGGAAATATCTTCTGACACAAACTAGACAGAGGCTTTCTGAGGAACTTCTTTGTGATGTGTGCAATCCTTTCACAGAGTTGAACTGTTTTTTTGATTGAGCAGTTTGGAAACACTGTTGTTCTAGAATCTGCAAAGGGATATTTGTGAGCACTTTGAGGCCTATGCTAAAAAAGGATATGTCCTCACATAAAAACCAGAAAGAAGCTTTCTTAGAAACTGCTTTGTGATTGTGCATTCATCTCACAGAGTTAAACATTTCTTTTCATTGAGCAGTTTGGAATCTCTGTTCTTGTAGAATTTTCAAAGGGATATTTTTGAGGGCTTTGAGGTCAATGGTCAAAAAGGAAATATACTCACATAAAAACTAGAAAGGAGCTTTCTTAAAAACTGCTTTGTGATGTGTGCATTCATCTCATGGAGTTAAACTTTTCTTTATGTTGAGCAGTTTGGAAACTTTGTTCTTCTAGAATCTGCAAAGGGATATTTGGAGTGCATTGAGGCCTATGGTGAAAAAGGAAATATCTTCTGATACAAATTAGAAAGAAAGTTGCTGAGAAATTGCTTTGTGATGTGGGCATTCATCTCACAGAATTTAGCCATTCTTTTGATTGAGCTCCTTGGAAACACATTGTTTGTAGAATCTGTGAAGGGATATTTGGATTCCCCTTGAGGCCAATGGTGACAAAGGAAATATCTTCTGATACAAACTAGACAGAAGGTTTCTGAGGAACTGCTTTGTGATATGTACATTCCTGTAACAGAGTTGAACCATTCTTTTGGTTGAGCAGTTTGGAACCACTGTTTTTCTAGAGTCTGCAAAGGGATATTTTTGAGCGTTTGAGGCCTATGGTGAAAAAGGAAATATCCTCACATAAAAACTAAAAAGAAGCTTTCTTGGAAACTGCTTTGTTATGTGTGCATTCATCTCACTGCGTTAAACCTTTTTTTTCATTGAGCAGTTTGGAAACTCTGTACTTCTAGAATCTGCAAATGGATATTTGGGATTGCATTGAGGCCTATGGTGAAAAAGGAAATACATTCTGATAGAAACTAGAAAGAAAGTTTCTGAGAAATTGCTTTGTGTTGTGTGCATTCATCTCAGAGAGTTTAACCATTCTTTTCATTCAGCAGTTTGGAAACAGTGTTTGTAGAATCTGCGAAGGGATATTTGGATTCACCTTGAGGCCTTTTTGACAAAAGAAATATCTTCTGATACAAACTAGACAGAAGCTTTCTGAGGAACTGCTTTGTGACGTGTGCCTTCCTCTCACAGAGGTGAACATTTATTTTGATGGAGCATTTTAAAATCACTCTTCTTGTAGAATCTGCAAAAGGATATTTGGGAGCGTTTTGAGGCCTATGTTGAAAACAGAAATATCTTCACATAAAAACTAGAAAGAACTTTTCTGAGAAAATTCTCTGTGATGTGTGCATTCCTGTAACAGAGTTGAACCATTCTTTTGATTAAACTGTTTGGAATCACTCTTTTTCCAGAATCCACAAAGGGATATTTGTGAGAGGTTTGAGACTTACGCTGAAAAAGGAAATATCCTCACATAAAAACTAGAAAGGAAGCTTCTTAGAAACTGCTTTGTGATGTATGCCTTCATCTCACAGAGGTAAACCTTTCTTTTCATTGAGCAGTTTGGAAACTCTGTTATTCTAGATTCTACAAAAGGATATTTGGAGCACCTTGAGGCCTATGGCGAAAAAGGAAACATCTTCCAATATAAACTAGAAAGAAAGTTTCTGAGAAATTGCTTTCTGATGTGTGCACTCATCTCACAGAGTTTAACCACCCTTTTGATTGAGCAGTTTGGAAACACAGTGTTTGTACAACATGCAAAGGGATATTTCGATTCCCCTTGAGGCCTATGGTGACAAAAGAAATATTTTCTGTTACAAACTAGACAGAAGGTTTCTGAGGATCCTCTTTGTGATGGGTGCATTCCTCTCACAGAGTTGAACCATTCTATTGTATGAGCAGTTTGGAACCATTGTTTTTCTAGAATTTTCTGAGGGATATTTGTGAGCGCTTTGAGGCCTATGGGGAAAAGGAAATATTCTCACATAAAAACTAGAAAGAAGCTTTCTTGGAAACTGCTTTGTGATGTGTGCATTCATCTCAAAGCATTAAACCTTTCTTTTCATTGAGCAGTTTATAAACTCTGTTCTTCTAGAATCAGCAAAGCGATATTTGGGAGCACATTGAGGCCTATGCTGAAAAAGGAAATACATTCCAATACAAACAAGAAAGAAAGTTTCTGAGAAATTGCTTTGTGATGTGTGCATTCATCTCACAGAGTTTAACCATTCTTTTGATTTAGCAGTTTGGAAACAGTGGTTGTGGAATCAGCGAAGGTATATTTGGATTCTCCTTGAGGTCTTTTTTGACGAAGGAAATATCTTCTGATATAAACTAGACAGAAGCTTTCTGAAGAACTGCTTTGTGATGTGTGCTTTCCTCTCCCAGCGGTGAACCTTTATTTTGATTGAGCAGTTTGGAATCACTGTTCTTGTAGAATCTGCAAAGGTATATTTGGGAGTGTTTTGAGGCCTGTGTTGAAAAAGGAAATATCTTCACATAAAAACTAGAAAGAACTTTTCTGAGAAATTGCTTTCTGATGTGTACATTCTTCTAACAGAGTTGAAACGTTATTTTGATTGAGCAGTTTTGAACTACTGTTTTTCTAGAATCTGCCAAGGGATATTTGTGGGCGCTTTGAGGCATATGGTGAAAAAGGAAATATCCTCACATAAATACTGAAAAGAGCTTTCTTAGAAACTGCTTTGTGATGTTTCAATTCAACTCACAGAGTTAAACGTTTCTTTTCATTGAGCAGTTTGGAAACTGTTCTACTAGAATCTGCAATGGGATATTTGGGAGACCATTGAGGCCTGTGGTGAAAAAGGAAATATCTTCCAATACAAACTAGAAAGAAGTTTTCTGAGAAATTGCTTTGCTTTGTGTGCATTCATCTCACAGAATTTAACCATTCTTTTGATTGAGCAGTTTGGAAACACTGTGTTTTTTTGAATATGAGAAGGGATATTTGGATTCGCCTTGAGGTCTGTTTTGAAAAAGGAAATATCTTCTGATACAAACTAGACAGAAGCATTGTGAGGAACTGTTTTGTTATGTGTGAATTCTTCTCAAGGAGTTGAAACTTTCTTTTGATTGAGCAGTTTGGAACCACTGTTCTTGTGGAATCTTCAAAGGCATATTTTGGAAAACTTAGAGGCCTATGGTGAAAAACTAAATATCTTCACATAAAAACTAGAAAGAACCTTTCTGAGAAATTGCTTGGGGATCTGTGCATTCCTCTAACAGACTCGAACCATTCTGTTGATTGAGCAGCTTGGAACCACTGTTTTTCTAGAATCTGAAAGGGATATTTGTGAGCGCTTTGAGGCCTATGGTGAAAAAGGAAATATTCTCCCATATAAATTAGAAAGGAGCTCTCTTAGAAACTGCTTTGTGATGTGTGCATTCGTCTCACAGAATTAAACGTTTCTTTTTCATTGAGCAATTTGGAAACTCTCTTCTTCTAGAATCTACAATGGGATATGTGTGAGTGCATTGAAGCCTATGGTGGAAAAGGAAATGTTTTTCATCACAAACTAGAAAGAAAGTTTCTGAGAAATTGCTTTGTGATGTGTGCATTTATCTCACAGAATTTAACCATTTTTTTGATTGAGAAGTTTGGAAAAACAGTGTTTGTAGAATCTGTGAAGGGATATTTGGATTCACCTTGAGGCCTATAGTGAAAAATGAAATATCTTCTGATACAAATTAGACAGAAGTTTTCTGAGGAACCACTCTTTTTGTAGAATCTGCGAAGGGATATTTGGGAGTGATTTGAGGTCTGTGGTAAAAAGGAAATAACCTCACATAAAAACTGAAAGGGGCTTCCTTTGAAACTGCTTTGTGATGTGTCCATTCATCTCACTGAGATAAACATTTCTTTTCATTGTGCAGTTTGGAAACTCTGTCCTTCTGGAATTTGCAAAGGGATATTTGGAATGCTTTGAGGCCTATGGTGAAAAAGGAAATATCTTCCGATACCAACTAGAAAGAAAGTATTTGAGAAATTGTTTTGTGGTGTGTGCATTCATCTGAGAGAGTTGGACCATTCTTTTCATTAAGGAGTTTGGAAACACATTGTTTGTAGAATCTGTGAAGGGATATTTGGATTCACCTTGATGCCTATGGTGACAAAGGAAATATCTTCTGATACAAACTAGACAGAAGCTTTCTGAGGAACTGCTTTGTGATGTGTGCATTGCTCTCACAGAGTTGAACTGTTATTTCGATTGAGCAGTTTAGAACCACTGTTTTTGTAGAATCTGCAATGGGATATTTGGGAGCACTTTGAGGCCTATGTTGAAAAAGGAAATAATTTCACATAAAAACTAGAAAGAAACTTTCTGAGAAATTGCTTTCTGATGTGTGCATTCCTCCAACAGAGTTGAACATATGTTGAATGGGCAGTTTGGAAGCACTGTTTTTCTAGAATCTGCAAAGCGATATGTGTGAGGGCTTTGAGGCCTATGCTGACAAAGCAAATATACACACATAAAAACCAGAAAGGAGCTTTCTTAGAAACTGCTTTGCGATGTGGGCATTCGTCTCACAGAGATAAATATTCCTTTTCATTAGGCAGTTTGGAAACTGTGTTTTCCTTGAATCTGCAAAGGGATATTTGGGAGTGGATTGAGGCCTACAGTGAAAAAGGAAATATCTCCTGATACAAACTGGAAAGAAAGTTTTTGAGAAATTGCTTTGTGATGTGTGCATCCATCTCACAGAGTTGAACATTTCATTGACCAGTTTGGGCACACTGTTTTTCCAGAATCTAAAAGGGGACTTTGTGAGTGCTTTGAGCCCTATGGTGAAAGTTTCTTTTGATTGAGCAGTTTGGAAACAGTCTTTTTGTAGAATCTGCAAACGGATATTTGGAGCACTTTGAGGACTATGGTGAAAAATGAAATATCTTCACAGAAAAACTAGAATGAACCTTTCAGAGAAATTGCTTTTTGATGTGTGCATTCCTCTAACAGAATTGAACCATTCTTTTGATTGAACATTTTGGAATCACTGTTTTTCTAGAATCTGCAAAGGATATTTGGGAGCACTTTGAGGCCTATGGGGAAAAATGAAATATCCTCACATAAAAACTAGAAAGGGGCTTCCTTAGAAACTGCATTGTGATGTGTGCCTTCATCTCACAGAGCTAAACGTTTCTTTTCATTGAGCAGTTGGGAACTCTGTTGTTCTAAAATCTGTAAACGGATATTTGGGAACACATTGAGGCCTATGCTGAAAAAGACAATATCTTCCAACACAAACTAGAAAGAAAGTTTCTGAGGAATTTCTTTGTGATGTGCACATTCATCTCCCAGAGTTTAACCATTCTTCTGATTGAGCAATTTAGAAACGCAGTGTTTGTAGAATCTGCCAAGGGGTATTTTCATTCACCTGGAGGACTATGATGACAAAGGAAATATCTTCTGAAACGAAGTAGACAAAAGCTTTATGAGGAACTGCTTTGTGATGTGTGCTTTCCTCTCACAGAGTTGAACTGTTCTGTTGATTAAGCAGTTTGGAGCCACTGTTTTTGTAGAATCTGCAAAGGAATATTTGGGAGCACTTTGAGGCCTATGGTGAAAAAGGAACTATCTTCACATAAAAACTAGAAAGGAGCTTTCTTAGAAACTGCTCTGTGATGTGTGCATTCGTCTCACAGAGTTAAAAGTTTCTTTTCATTGAGCAATTTGGAAACTTTCTTCTAGAATCTACAATGGGATATTTGTAAGCACATTGAAGTCTATGGTGAAAAAGGAAATATTTTTCAACACAAACTAAAAAGAAAGTTTCTGAGAAACTGCTTTGTGATGTGTGCATTTATCTCACAGAGTTTAACCATTCTTTTGATTGAGAAGTTTGGAAAAACAGTGTTTGTAGAATCTGCAAAGGGATATTTGGATTCACCTTGAGGCCTATAGTGAAAAATGAAGCATCTTCTGATGATACAAACTAGACAGAAGTTTTCTGAGGAGCTGCTTTGTGATGTTTGCTTTACTCTCACAGAGCTGAACTATTCTTTTGATTGAGCAGTTTGGAAACACTGTTTTCCTAGAATCTACAGAGGGATATGTGGGAGCGCTTCAAGACCTTTGGTGAAAAAGAAAATATCTTCACATAAAAACTAGAAAGGAGCTTTTTTAGAAATGGCTTTGTGATGTGTCCATTCATCTCACAGAGTTAAACATTTCTTTTCATTGAACAGTTTGGAAACTTTGTTCTTCTACAATCTGCAAAGGGATATTTGGGAGCACTTTGAGGCCAATGCTGAAAAAGGCAGTATCTTCCAGTACAAACTGGAAAGAAAGATTCTGAGAAATTTCTTTGTGACCTCTACATTCATCACACAGACTTTAACTATTCTTTTGATTCAGCAGTGTGGAAACACGTGTTTGTTGAATCTGAGAAGGGATATATTCATTCGCCTTGAGGCCTATGGTGACAAAGTAAATAACTTCTGATACAAACTAGACAGAAGCTTTCTCAGTAACTGCTTTGTGATGTGTGCATTCCTCTCACAGAGATGAACCATTCTTTTGAGAGAGCAGTTCAGAACCACTGTTTTTGTAGAATCTGCAAAGGGATATTTGGGAGCGCTTTGAGGCCTATGATGAAAAAGGGATATCTTTTAATAAAAACTAGAAAGAACCTTTCTGAGAAATTGCTTTGTGACATGTGCATTCCTCTAACAGAGTTGAACCATTCTGCTTAGCAGTTTGGAACCACTGTTTTTCTAGAATCTGCAAAGGGATATTTGTGAGTGCTTTGAGGTCTACAGTGAAAAATGAAATATCCTCACATAAAAATTAGAAAGCAGCTTTCTTAGAAACTGCTTTGTTATGTGTGCATTCATTTCACAGAGTTAAAGGATGCTTTTCATTGAAGAGTTTGGAAACTCTGTTCTCCTAGAATCTGATAAGGGATATAAGGGAGGACATTGAGGCCTACGATGAATAGGCAATAGCTTCCAATACAAACTAGAAAGAAATTTTCTGAGAAATTGCTTTGTGATGTGTGCATTCATCTCACAGAGTTTAAGCATTCTTTTGAATGAGCAGTTTGAAACCACAGTGTTTTTAGAATATTCAAAGGGATATTTGGATTGGCCTTGAGGCCTATCTTGACAAAGGAAATATCTTCTGATACAAATTAGGCAGAAGATTTCTGAGGAATTCCTTTGAGATGTGTGCATTCCTCTTACAGAGTTGAACTGTTCTTTTGATTGAGCAGTTTGGAAACACTGTTTTTGTAGAATCTGCAAAGGGGTAATTCGGAGCACTTTGAGGCCTATGTTGAAAAAGGAAATATCTTCACATAAAAACTAGAAAGAACCTTTCTGAGAAATTGCTTGGTGTTGTGTGCGTTTCTCAAACAGACTTCAACCATTCTGTTTACTGAGCATTTTGGAAGCACTGTTTTTCTAGAATCTGCAAATGGATATTTGTGAGCACTTTGAGGCCTATGGTGAAAAAGGAAATATCCTCACATAAA
Source organism: Homo sapiens (assembly GCF_000001405.40). Taxonomy (NCBI): domain Eukaryota; kingdom Metazoa; phylum Chordata; class Mammalia; order Primates; family Hominidae; genus Homo; species Homo sapiens. The sequence goes on from NC_000012.12 coordinate 37,836,560, forward strand.
AATTAGAAAGAGCTTTCTTTTAGAAACTGCTTCGTGATGTGTGCATTCATCTCACAGAGTTCAACGTTTCTTTTCATTGAACAGTTTGGAAGCACTGTTCTCCTAGAATCTGCAAAGGGATATTTGGGAGTGCTTTGAGGCCAATGGTGAAAAAGGTAGTATCTTCTGATGTAAACAAGAAAGAAAGTTTCTGAGAAGTTGCTTCATAATGTGTGCATTCATCTCACAGAGTTTAACCATTCTATTGATTGAGCAGTTTGGAAACACAGTGTTTTTCGAATCTGTGAAGGGATATTTGGATTCACTTTGAGACTTATTATGACAAAGTACATATCTTCTGATACAAACCAGACAGAAGCATTCTGAGGAACTGCTTTGAGACGTATGCATTCTTCACACAGTGTTGAACCTTTCTTTTGATTGAGCAGTTTAGAGCCACCGTTTTTTTTAGAATCTGCAAAGTTGAACCATTATTTTGATTGAGCAATTTGGAACCACTCTTCTTTTTCTAGAATATGCAAAAGGATATTTGGGGGCGCTTTGAGGCCTAAGGTGAAAAAGGAGATATCTTCACATGAAAATTAGAAAGGATCTTTCTTAGAAACTGCTTTGTGATGTCTGCATTCATCTCAGAGTTAAACGTTTCTTTTCATTGAGCACTTTGAAAAATCTGTTCTCCTAGAATCTGCAAGGGGATATTTGGGGGCACTTTGAGGCCTATGGTGAAAAAGGCAACATCAACAAGATAGAAAGTTTCTGAGAAATTGCTTTGTGAAGTGTGTATTCATCTCACAGTGTTTAAACTTTCTTTTGTTTGAGCAGATTGGAAACACAGTGTTTGTAGAATCTGTGAGGGGATATTTGGGTTTACCTTGAGGCCTTTTGTGACAAAGGATGCATCTTCTGATGCAAACTAGACAGAAGCTTTCTTTGGATGCATTCATTCCTCTCACAGAATTGAACCTTTCGTTTGATTGAGCTGTTTGGAGACACTGTTTTTGTAGAATCTGCAAAGGGCTATTTGGGAGTGCTTTGAGGTGTATGGTGAAAAAGGAAATTTCCCCACATTAAAACTGAAAGGAGCTTTCTTAGAAACTGATTTGTGATGTGTCCATTCATCTCACAGAGTTAAACCTTTCTTTTTACTTAACTGTTTGGAAACTCTGTTCTTCTAGACTCTGTAAAGGGATATTTGGGAGCACGTTGAGGTCTATGGTGAAGAAGGAAATATTTTCACATAAAAACTAGAAAGAACCTTTCTGATAAATTGCTTTGTGATGGGTGCATTCCCCTAACAGAGTTGAACCATTCTGTTTATTGAGAAATTTGGAACCACTGTTTTTCTAGAATCTGAAAAGGGATATTTCTGAGTGCTTTGAGGCCTATGGTGAGAAAGGAAATATACTCACATAAAAACCAGAGAGGAGCTTTCTTAGAAACTGCTTTGTGATTTGTCCATTCATCTTACAGAGTTAAATATTTCTTTTCATTTAGAAGTTTGGAAAATCTGTTCTTCTAGAATCTGTGAAGGGATATTTGGGAGGTCATTGAGGATCATGGTGAAAAAAGAAATATCTTCCGATACAAACTGGAAAGAAAGTTTCTGAGAAATTGCTTTGGGATGTGTGCATTCATCTCTCAGAGTTTAACCTTTCTTTTGATTGAGTAGTTTGGAAACACAGTGTTTGTAGAATCTACAAAGGGATATTTGGATACCCTTAGAGGCCTATGGTGACAAAGGAAATATCTTCTGATACACACTGTACAGAAGCTTTTGGGGAAACTGCTTTGAGATGTGTGCATTACTCTCACAGAGTTGAACCATTCTTTTGATTGAGCAGTTTGGAAACATTTGGGAGAGTTTTGAGGCCTATGGTGAAAAACGAGGTATTTTCAGATAAAAACTGGAAAGAACCTCTCTGAGAAATTGCTTTGTGATGTGTGCATTCTTATAACAGAGTTGAACCATTCTTTTGATTGAGCAGTTTGGAACAACTGTTTTTCTACAATGTGCAGATGGATATTTGTGAGTGCTTTGAAGCCTACAGTGAAAAACAAAATATCCCCACACAAAAACCAGAAAGGAGATTTCTTAGAGACTACTTTCTGATGTGAGCATTCATCTCACAGAGTTAAACATTTCTTTTCATTGAGCAGTTTGGAAACTCTGTTCTCCTAGAATCTGCAAAGGGATATTTAGGAGTGCTTTGAGGCCTATGTTGAAAAAGGAAATATCTTCCGATACAAACTAGAAAAAAAGTTTCTGAAAAAATTTCTTTGTGATGTCTGCATTGACCTCACAGAGTTTAACAATTCTTTTGATGGAGCAGTTTGGAAACACAGTGTTTGTAGAATCTGCAAAGTGATATTTGGATTCCCCTTGAGGCCTATGGTGACAAAGGAAATATCTTCACATAAAAACTAGATAGAACCTTTCTGAGAAATTGCTTAGTGATGTTTGCATTCCTCTAACAGACTTCAACCACTCTGTTGATTGAGAATTTTGAAACCACTGTTGTTCTGGAATCTGCAAAGGGATATTTGTGAGTGCTTTGAGACCTATGGTGAAAAAGGAAATATCCTCACATTAAAATTAGAAAGGAGCTTTCTTAGAAACTGCTTTGTGATGTGTGCATTCATCTCACAGAGTTAAACGTTTCTTTTCATTGAGCAGTTTGGAAACACTTCTCCTAGAATCTGCAAAGGGGTACGTGGGAGTGCATTGAGGCCTATGGTGAAAAAGGCAATATCTTCCAATACAAACTGGAAAGAAAGTATCTGAGAAATTACATTGTGATATGTGCATTTATCTCAGCAAGTTTAACCATTCTTTTCATTGAGCAGTTTGGAAACACTGTCTTTTTAGAACCTGCGATGGGATGTTTTGATTTGCCTTGAGGCCCATGGTGACAAAAGGCATATCTTCTGATACAAACTAGACAGAAGCTTTCTGAGGAACTACTTTGAGATGTGTGCATTCCTCTCACAGAGTTGTACCATTATTTTGGTTGAGCAGTTTGGAGCCACTGTTTTTGTAGAATCTGCAAAGGAATATTTGGGAGCACTTTGAGGTCTATGGTGAAAAAGGAAATATTCTCACATAAAAACTGAAAGGAGCTTTCTTAGAAACTGCTTTGTGATGTGTCCATTCATCTCACAGAGTTAAACGTTTCTTTTCATTCAGAAGTTTGGAAACTCTCTTCTTCTAGGATCTGCAAAGGGATATTTGGGAGCACATTGACGATTATGGTGAAAAAGGAAATATCTTCTAATAAAAACTACAAAGAACCTTTATGAGAAATTGCCTTATGATGTGTGCATGCCTCTAACAGTGGTGAACCTTTCTGTTGATTGAGCATTTTGGAACCACTGTTTTTCTCCAATCTGCAAGGGGATATTTGTGAGTGCTTTGAGGCCTATGGTGAAAAATCAAATATCATCACACAAAAATTAGAAAGGAGCTTTCTTAGAAACTGCTTTTTGATGTGTACTTTCATCTCACTGAGTTAAACCTTTCTTTTCATTGAGCAGTTTGGAAACTGTGTTTTCCTAGAATATGCAAAGTGATATTTGGGAGCACTTTGATGATTATGGTGAAAAAGGAAATATCTTCTAATAAAAACTAGAAAGAATCTTTGTGAGAAATTGCTTTGTGATGTGTGCATTAGTCTAACAGAATTGAACCATTATGTTGATTGAGCAGTTTGGAAACACTGTTTTTCTAGAATCTGCAAAGGGATATTTGTGAGCACTTTGAGGCCTATGGTGAAAAGGGAAATATCCTCACATAAAAACTAGAAAGCTTTCTTAGAGACTGCTTTGTGGTGTATGCATTTATCTCACAGAATTAAACATTTCCTTTCATTGAACAGTTTGGAAACTCTGTTTTCCTAGCATCTGCAAAGGGATATTTGGGAGGGCGTTGAGGACTATGGTGAAAAAAGCAATATCTTCCAAAACAAACAAGAAAAAAATTCTGAGAAATTACTTTGTGATGAGTGCATTTACCTCACAGAGTTTAACTTTCTTTTGATTAAGCAGTTTGGAAACAAAGTGGTTTTAGAATATGTGAAGGGATATTTGGAATCACTTTGAGGCCTATGGTGACAAAGGAAAGATCTTCTATACAAACTAGGCAGAAGTTTTCTGAGGAACTGCTTTGAGATGTGTGCATTCCTCTCACAGAGTTGAACCTTTCTCTTGATTTAGCATTTTTTAGCCACTGTTTTTGTAGAATCTGAAAAATGATATTTGGTAGTGCTTTCAGGCCTGTGGTGAAAAAGGAAATATCTTCAAATAAAAACTAGAAAGGAGCTTTATAAGAAACTGCTTTGTAATGCATGGATTGATCTCACATAGGTAAACATTCCTTTTCATTGAGCAATTTGGAAACTCTGTTCTCCTAGAATCTACAAAGGGATATTTTGGGGTGCCTGAGGCCTATGGTGAAAATGGTACACTCTTCCAATGCAAACTAGAAAGATTCTGAGAAACTGCTTTGTGATGTGTGCATTCATCTCACAGAGTTTAACCATTCTTTTTATTAAGCAGTTTGGAAACACAGTGTTTGTAGAATCTGTGAAGGGATATTTGAATTCACCTTGAGGCTTATGTTGACAAAGGACACAAATGTCCCTTTGCAGTTTCTACAAAAACAGTGTTTCCAAACTGCTGAATCAAAATAAAGGTGTAACTCTGTTAGATGAATGCACACATCACAAAGCAGTTTCTCAGAAAGCTTCTGTCTAGTTCTTCTCTGAAGATATTTCCTATTCCACCATAAGCCTCGATGTGCTCCCAAATATACCTTCACAGATTATACAAAAACAGTGTTCCCAAACAGTTCCATCAAAAGAAGGACTTAACTCTGTGAGACGAATGCACACATCAGAAAGCAGTTTCTCATAAAGCTTCTTTCCAGTTTTTATCTGAAGATATTTCTTTGTTCACCATAGGCTTTTTCTCACTGCTTAGTATCACTTCACATATTTTGAGAAAACAGTGTTTCCAAACTGCCCAGTCAAAAACCAGTTTTAACTCTGTGAGTTGAACGTACACATCACAAAGCAGTTTTTCAAAATCTTCTTTCTAGCTTTTATCTGAAATTACTTTTTCTTTCACCACAGGCACTCCCAAATATACCTTTGCAGATTCTTCAAAAGCAGTGTTTTCAAACTGATCAATCAAAAGAAAGTTTTAACTCTGTTAGATGAATGCACACATCTCAAAACAGTTTATCAAAAAGTTTTTTTCTAGTCTTTATTGGAAGATATTTCCTTTTTCATCATAGGCTTCAATCATTCCCAAATATTCCTTCACAGATACTACAAAGCCAGTGTTTCCAAACTGCTCAAAGGAAAGGTTTATCCCTGTGAGATGAATGCACATGGCACAAAGCAGTTTCTCAAAAAGCTTCTTTCTAGTTTTTATCCATAGATATTTCTTTGTTCAACATAGGCTTCAATGAGCTCCCAAATATCCCATCGTAGATTCAAACAGTGTTTCCAAACTGCTCCATCAAAAGAAAGGTTGAACTCTGTGAGATGAATGCACACATCCTAAAGTAGTTCTTCAGAAAGCTTCTGTCTGGTACTTCAATGAATGTATTTCCTCTTCCACCTTAGGCCTTAATGCATTCCCAAATATCCCTTTGCAGATTCTACAAAAAGAGTGTTTCCAAAATGTTCCATCAAAAGAAGGTCTTAGCTCATGAAATGAATGCACATCAGAAATCAGTTTCTCATAAAGCTTCTTTCCAGTTTTTATCTGAAGATATTTTCTTTTTTACCATAGGATTTATTTGCACTAGCTAATATCCCTTTGCAGGTTACACGAAAACAGTGTTTCCAAACAGCTCAGTCAAAAGAATGTTTTATCACTTTAAGATGAATGTACGTATCACAAAGCAGTTTCTCAGAAAGCTTCTTTCTAGTTTTTATCCAAATATATTTCCTTTTTCCACAATGGGCATAACTGTGCTTTCAAATATACCATTGCCGATTCTACAAAAACAGTTTTTTGTAACTTCTCAATCAAAAGAAATGTTTCCATCTGTGAGAAGAATGCACACATGGAATAGCAGTTTCTCACAAACCTTCTTTGTATTTTTTATCCAAAGCTATTTCCTTTTTCACCATTGCATAAGTGCCATCCCAAATATTCCTGGCAGATTCTAACAAAACAGTGTTTCCAAACAGCTCAATCAAAAGAAAGGTTTAACTCTGTGACATGAATGCACACACCACAAAGCAGTTTCTCAAAAAGCTTACTTCTAGTTTTTTTCTGAAGATATTTCGTTTTTCACCATAGGCTTCAATGTGCTCCCAAACATACCTTCGCAGATTCTACTAAAACAATTTTTCCAAAGTGCTCAATCAAAAGAAAGGTTTAACTCTGTGAGGTGTATGCTGACAACACAGAGCAGTTTCTCAGATAGCTTCTGTCTAATTCTTCTCTGAAGATATTTCCTTTTCAACCATAGGCCTCAATATGCTCAAAATATCCCTTCGCAGATTCTGTAAAAACAGTGTTTCAGAACAGTTCCATTAAAAGAAGGAATTAGCACTGTGATATGAATGCACACATCAGATATCAGTTTCTCATAACGATACTTTCCAGTTTTTATCTGAAGATATTTCCTTGTACACCATAGGCCTTTTTGCGCTATATAACATCACTTCACAGATTATCCAAAAACAGTGTTTCCAAAATGCTGTCAAAAGAAAAGTTTATTTCTGTGAGGTGAATCCATCCATCAGAAAGCAGTTTCTTGAAGAGCTTCTTTGTAGTTTTTATCCAAAGACATTTCCATTTTCACCCTAGGCATCAGTGGGCTCCTGAATATCCCTTTGCAGATTGTATGATAACAGTGTTACCCAACTCCCAAATTGAAAGAAACGTTTAACTCTGTGAGAAAAATGCACACATCACAAAGCAGGTTTTCAAATAGCTTCCATTTAATTTTTACCTGAAGTTATTTCCTTTTTCACCACATGCCTCACGTATTCGAAATATCCTTTCTCAGATTCTACAAAAATAGTGTTTCCAATCTGATTAATCTAAAGAAAGGTTGACCTCTGTGAGATGAATGCACACATAACCAAGAAGTTTCTCAGAATGCTTCTGTCTAGTTCTTCTCCGTAGAGGTTTGCTTTTCCAACATACACATCAATGCACTCCCTAATATCCCTTTGTAGATTCTACAAAAACAGTGTATACAAACTGCTCAATCAAAAGAAAGTTCTAACTCTGTAAGATAAATGCACACATCAAAAAGCAGTTTCTCAGAATTCTTCTCTGAAGACATTTACTTTTCCACCTTAGGCCTCCATGTGCTACCAAATATCCCTTCGCAGATTCTACAAAAACAGTGTTTCCAAACTGTTCTTTCAAAAGATGGACTTAACTATGTGAGATGAATACACATATCAGAAAGTAGTGTATCATAACGCTTTTTTCCAGTTTTTATATCTGAAGATATTTCCTTGTTCACCATAGGCTTTTTTTGCACTGCCTAATATCGCTTTGCAGATTTTGCAAAACGAGTGTTTCAAACTGCTCAGTAAAAAGAAAGGTTGAACTCTGTGAGATGAATATGGACATCACAAAGTAGTTTCTCAAAAAGTTTTTATCCAAAGATATTTCCTTTATCACCATAGGCTTCAATGTGATCCCAAATTTCCCATCGCAGATTCTGCAATAACAGAGGTTCCATACTGCTCAATCACAAAACAGGTCTAACTCTGTGAATTGAATGCATACATTACAAAGAAGTTTCTAAAAAACTTCTTTCTTTTTTTATCTCAAGATATTTCCATTTTCACCACAGGCATAAGTGTGCTCCCAAATATCCCTTTGCAGATTTTTAAAAAAGTTTCCAAACTTCTCAATCAATAGAAACGTTTACCTCTGTGAGAAGAATGCACACATCACAAAACTGTTTATCAGAAATCTTCATTCTAGTTTTTATCTGAAGTTATTTCCTTTTTCACCATATGCCTTACGTGCTCCCAAATATCCCATCGCAGAAGCTACAAAAACAGTGATTCCAAACTGATCAATCAAAGGAAATATTTAACTCTGTGAGATGAATGCACACATCACAAAGCAGTTTTTCAAAAGTTTCTTTCTAGTTTCTATGTGAGGATATTTCTTTTTTCACCATAAGCTTCAATGAGCTCCCAAATATCCCTTTGCAGATTGTACAAAAACAGTGTTTCTAAATGTTCAATCAAAAAACGGGTTTAATTCTGTGAGTTGAATGCACAAATCACAAAGCAGTCTCTCAAAAATTTTCTCTCTACTTTTTATCTGAAGATATTTCTTTTATCACCATAGGCTTCAATGCGCTCCCAAATATCTGTTTGCAGATTCTACAAAAACAGTGTTTCCAAACTGATCAATCAAAAGAAAGGTTTAACTCTGTTAGATGAATACAGCAATCACAAAGCAGTTTCTCAGAAAGCTTCTGTCTATTTCTTTTCTGAAGATATTTCCTTTTCCATCATAGGTGTCAATGCACTCCCAAAAATGCATTTTCAGATTCAAGAAAAAACCATGTTTCCAAACTGTTCAATCCTAAGAAAGGTTTAACTCTGTGAGATGAATGCAAACATCACAAAGCAGTTTCTCATAAGGCTTCTTTCCAGTTTTTAGCTGAAGATATTTCCTTGTTCACCATAGGCCTTTTTGTGCTACTTAACATCACTTTGCAAATTATACACAAACAGTATTTCCAAATTGCTAAGTTAAAATAAAAGTTTAACTCTCTGTGATGAATGCATGCATCACAATACAGTTCAACTCTGTGAGATAAAAGCACACATTGCAAAGCAGTTCACAAATTCTACAAAAACAGTGTTTCCAAACTTCTAAATGAAATGAAAGGTTTAACTCTGTGAGATGATGGTAAACATCACAGAGCACTTTCTCAAAAATCTTCTTTCCTGTTTTTATCTGAAGATGTTTCCTTCTTCACCATTGACTTCAATGCACTCCCAAATATCCTTTCACATATTCTGCATTAACAGTGTTTCCAAACTGCTTAAACAAAACACAGGTTTAACTCTGTGAATTGAAGGCAACATCACAAAGCAGTTTCTCAAAAAGCTTCTTTCTAGTTTTTATCTGAAGATACTTCCTTTTTCACCATAGGCTTCAATGCCCACCCAAATATCACTTCACAGATTCTAGAAAAACAGTGTTTCCAAATTGCTAAGTCAAAAGAAAGTTTTAAGTATGTGAGATAAATGCACAAATCACAAATCAGTTTCTCAGAAAGCTTCTGTTTAGTTCTTCTCTGAAGATATTTCCTTTTCCACCATAGGCCTCAATGCACTGTGAAATATCCCTTCGCAGATTCTACAAAAACAGTGTTCCAAACTTTTCCATCAAAAGAAGGAATTACCTCTGTGAGATGAATGCACACATAAGAAAGCAGTTTCTCATAACCCTTGTTTCCAGTTTTCATCTGAAGATGTTTCCTTTTTTATCATAGGCTTTTTTGTGCTACCTAATATCGCTTCACAGATTATACCAAAAGACGTTTTCCAAACTGCTCAATCAAACAAAACGTTTAACTGTGTGAGAAGAATGCACACATCATAGAGCAGTTTCTCAGAAAGCTTCTCTCTAGTTTTCATCTGAAGATATTTTCTATTTCAACATAGGCCTCAATGCTCTCAAAATATTCCTGCACCCAGAAATATCTTTTTGGCAATTCCACAAAAAAAGTGTTTCCAAATTTCTCAATCAAAAGAAAGGTTTAACTATGTGAGGTGACTGAACATATCACAAGGCAGTTTCTCTGAAAGCTTCTATCTAGTTTTTACAAAAGATATTTCCTCTTCCACCATAGGTCTCAATCCAATCCCAATTATCCCTATGCAGATTATACAACAAAAGTGTTTCCAAACTGCTCAATTAAAAAAATCTTTACCTCTCTGAGATGAATGCACACATCATAAAGCTGTTTCAAAGAACACTTCTTTTTTTATCTGAAGCTATTTCCTTTTTCACCTTTGACTTCAATACGCTGCCAAATATTCCTTTGCAAATTCTACAAAAACGGTGTTTCTAAACTGCGTAAAAAAGAAACCATTAACTCTGTGAAATGAATGCAAACATCACAAAGAAGTTTCTCAGAAAGTGTCTTTCTAGTGCTTCTCTGATGATATTTCCTTTTTCAAAATCGGCCTCAATAAGATCAAAAAAATCCCTTCACAGATTCTACAAAAGCAGTGTTCCCAAACTGCTCAATGAAAAGAAATGTTTAACTTTGTGACATGAACGCACACATCACAAAGCAGTTTCTCAAAAACTTCTTTGTATTTTTTATCTGAAGATGTTTCCTTTCTCACCATAGGTCTCAATGCATTCCCAAATATACCTTTGCAGATTCTACAAAAACAGTGTGTCTAAACTGCTAAATCAAAGGCAAGGTTTAACTCTGTGAGATGAATGCACACATCACAAATCAGTTTCTTAAATAGCTTCTGTCTAGTTCTTCTCTGAAGATAATTCCTTTTCCAATATAGGCTTCAATTTGCTCCAAAATATCCCTTTGCATATTCTACAAAACAGTGTTTCCAAACTCTTCCATCAAAAGAAAGATTTACCTCTGTGAGATGAATGCCGTCATCAGAAAACAGTTTCTCATAATGCTTCTTTCCAGTTTTTATCTTAATATATATCCTTCTTCACCATAGGTCTTTTTGTGCTACCAAAATGGTTTTGCAGATTATATGAAAACAGTGTTTCCAAACTGCTCAGTTAAATGAAAAGTTTACCTCTGTGAGATGAATGACTACATCACAAAGAAGTTTCTCAAACAGCTTCTTTCTAGTTTTTATCTAAAGATATTTCATTTTTTAACATAGGCATCAGTGTGCTCCAAAATATCCCTTTGCAGATTCTACAAAAACAGTTTTTCCAAACTGCTCAATCAAAAGAAATGTTTAACTCTGTGAGAAGAATGCACACATCAAGAAGTGGTTTCCAGAAAGCTTCTTTCTAGTCTTGATCTGAAGTTATTTCCTTTTTCACCACAGGCCCAGTGAATGCCCAACTATCCCTTTGCAGATTCTACAAAAACAGTATTTCCAATCTGATCAATCAAAAGAAAGTTTTAACTCTGTGAGATGAATGCACACATCACAAAGCAGTTTCTCAAAATGCTTCTTCTTAGTTTTTATCTGAAGATATTTCCTTTTTCACCATAGACTTCAATGTATTCTGAAATATTCCTCTGCAGATTCTACAATAACTGTGATTCTGAACAGCTCAGTCTAAAGAAACTTTTAACTCCGTAAGAGGGATGCATATATCAAAAAACAGTTTCTCGGAAAGTTTCTGTATGGTTATTCTCAGAAGATATCTCCATTTCCATGCATGGGCCTCAATGTGCTCCAAAATATCCCTTTGTAGATTCTACAGAAACAGTCTTTCCAAACTGTTCCATCAAAAGGACGACTTAAGTCTGTGAAATGAATGCACACATCAGAAAGCAGTTTTCCATAACGCTTCTTTCCTGTTTTTATCTAAAAGATATTTCCTTTTTCACTTTAGGCCTCTTTGCACTACTTAATATCACTTCGTACATTATACAAAAACAGTTTTTCCAAAATGCTCTATCAAAAGGAAGTTTTAACTCTGTGAGGTGAATGCACACATCCCAAAGCAGTGTCACAAAAGCTTATTTCTAATTTTTATCCAAAGGTATTTCCTTCATCACAGTAGGCTTCAATGAGCTCCCAAATATCCCATCACAGATTCTACAAAAACAGTGTTTCCAAACTGCTCACTCAAAAAACAGGTTTAACTCTGTGAGTTGGAAGCACACATCACAAAGCAGTTTCTCAAAAAGCTTCTTTCTAGTTTTCATCTGAAGATATTCCCTTTTTCACTATAGGTCTCAGTGCACTCCCAAATATACCTTTGCAAATTTTACAAAAACAGTCTTTCCAAACTGCTCAATGAACAGAAACGTTTAACTCTGTGAGATGAATGCACACATCACAAAGCAATTTCTCAGAAAACTTCTGTCTAGTTCTTTGCTGAAACTATTTCCTTTTCCACCATAGGCCTCAGTGCACTCTGAAATATACCTTTGCATATTCTACAAAAGCAGTGTTTCCAAACTGCTTAATCAAAAGGAAGTTTTAACTCTGTGAGATGAATACACACATGGAAAAGGAGTTTCTCATAATGCTTATTTCCACTTTTTATCTGACGATATTTCCTAGTTTACCATAGGCTTTTTGGCAGTACCTAATTTCACTTAACAGCTTTTGCTAAAATAGTGTTTCCAAACTGCTCAGTCAAAAGAAATGTTTAACTCTTTGAGATGAATGCACACATCACCAAGCTGTTTCGTAAAAAGCTTCTCTCTAGTTTTATCCAAAGATATTTCCTTTTTCACCATAGGCCTTGTGCACACCCAAATATCCCATTGCAGATTCTACAACAACAGTGTTTCCAAAACATTCAATGAAAAGAAAGTTTGAACTCCTTGAGATGAATGCACGCTTCACATAGCAGTTTCTCAAAAGGCTTCTGTCTGTTTTTATCCAAAGATATGTCCTTTTTCACCATAGGAATCAATGCTCTCCCAAATATACCTTCCTATATTATACAAAAAGAGTGATTCCAAACTGCTCAATCAAAAGAAGAGTTTAACTTTGTGAGATGAATGCACACATCACAAAGCAGGTTCTCAGAAAACTTCTGTCTACTTCTTCTCTGAAGATATTTCCTTTTCCAATACAGGCTTAATACTCTCCCAAATATCCCTTCACAGATTCTACCAAAACAGTGTTTCCAAACAGTTGCAAGAAAGCAAGGACTTAACTGTGAGATGAACACACACATAACAAAGCAGCTTCTCAGAAAGCTTCTTTCTAGTTTTTGTCTGAAGTTATTTCCTTTTTCACCATTGTCTTCATGAGCTTGCAAACATTACTTCACATATTATACAAAAACAGTGTTTCCAAATTGCTCCATCAAAAGAAAAGTTTAACTCTGTGAGATGAATGCATACATCTCAAAGCAGTTTCTCAAAAAGGCTATTTCTGCTTTTCATCTGAAGATATTTCCTTTTTCACCATAGGCATCAATGCGCTCCCACATATCCCTTTGCAGATTCTACAAAACCAATGTTTCCAAACTGTTCAATCAAAAGAAACGTTTAACTCTGTGAGAAGAATGCACACATCACAAAGCAGTTTCTCAGAGAGCTGCTTTCTAGTTTTAATCTGAGGTTATTTCATTTTACATCTTAGGCCTGGTATACTCCCAAATATTTTTTGCAGAATCTACAAAAACAGTGTTTCCAAACAGATCAATCAAAAGAAAGGTTTAATTATGAGAGATGAATGCACGCATCAGAAAGCAGTTTCTCAAAAAACATCTTTCTAGTTTTTATCCGAAGATATTTACTTTTTCAACATAGGTTTCAATGCTTTCCCAAATATCCCTTTGCAGATTCATCAAAAACAGTGTTTCCTAACTGCTCAATCAAAAGGAAAGTTTAACTTAGTGAGATGAATGCAGACATCACATAGCAGTTTCTCAGAAAGCTTCTGCCTACTTCTCTGAAGATATTTCCTTTTCCACCATAGGCCTCCGTGTGCTCCCAAATATCCATTTCCAGATTCTACAAAAACAGTGTTTCCAAACTGTTCCATTGAAGAAGGACTTATCTCTGTGAGATGAATGCAAACATCAGAAATCAGTTTCTCTTAATGCTTCTTTCAAATTTTTATCAGCAGATATTTCCTTTATAAACATATACTTTTTTCTTCTGCATAATATGGCTTCACAAATTCTACAGAAAGAGTGTTTCCAAAATGCTCAGTCAAACAGGTTTAACGCTGTCAGATGAATGCATATAGGACAAAGCTGCTACTCAAAAAACCACTTTCTAGTTTATAACCAAAGATAATTCCTTTTTCACCAAATTCCTAACTGCACTTTAAATTATCCCATTACAGAGTTTACAAAAAGGGTGTTTCCAAACTGCTCAATCAAAAAACAGGTTTAACTCTGTGAGTTGAATACAGACATCACAAAGCAGTTTCTAAAAAGCTTTTTTCTAGTTTTTATCCGAAGACATTTCCTTTTTCACCATAAACGTAGTGGACTCCCAAATATCTTTTCACTGATTCTACAAAAACAACATTTGAAAATTGCTCAATAAAAAACAAGTTAACGTCTGTGAGATGAAAGCACACATATCAACCAGTTTCTTAAAAAGCTTCTGTCTTATTTTTATCCGAAGATATTTCCTTTTTCACCCTAGGCCTCAATGTGCTCCCAAATATACCTTTGCAGATTCTACAAAAACAGTGTTTCTAAAGTGCTCTATTGAAAGAAAGGTTTAACTATCTGAGATGAATGCACACATAACAAAGCAGTTTCTCAAAAAGTTTCTTTCAAGTTTTTATCCAATGATATTTCCTTTTTCATCATAGGCTTCAATGCACTCCCAAATATCACTTCACAGATTCTACAAAAGCAGTGTTTCCAAAAGGCTCTTTCAAGGGAAAGTGAACTCTTTGAGATGAATGCATACATCACAAAGCAGTTTCTCAGAGTGCTTCTGTCTAGTTCTAGTCTGACGATAATTTGTTTTCCACCATAGGCCTCAATGCACTGCCAAATATCCCTTTGCAGATTCTACAAAAACTGTTTCCAAAGTGTTCCATGAAAAGAAGGACTTAATTCTCTGAGATGAATGCACACCTCATGAAGCAGTTTGGCAGATAGCTTCTGTCTAGTTCTTCTTTGAAGATATTTCCTTTTTGACCATAGGCCTCAATGTGCTCCCAAATATCCCTTCACAGGTTCTACAAAGACAGTGTTTCCAAACGGTTCCAATAAAAGAAGGACTTAACTCTGTGAGATGAACTCACACATCTTAGAACAGTTTCTCATAACGCTTCTTTACAGGTTTTATCTGAAGATATTTTCTTTTTCACCATAGGGTTTTTTGCGCTACTTAATATTGCCACATGGATTTTGCAAAAACAGGTTTTCCAAACTGCTCTATCAAAAGAAAGGTTTAACTCTGTGAGATGAATGTACACATCAAAAAGAAGTTTCTCAAAAACCTTCTTTCTAGTTTTTATCCAATGGTATTCCCTTTTCCACCATAGGCATCCTGCAATCCCAAATTTCCCTTAGCAGATTCTACAAAAAAAAGTTTCCAAATGGTTCCATCAAAAGAAGGACTTTGTGAGATGCACCCACACATTAGAAAGCAGTTTCTCATAATGCTTCTTTCCAGTTTTTGTCTGAATATATTTCCATTTTCAGCATAGGGTTTTTGTGCTACCATATATTGGTTCACAGATTTTGCAAAAACACTGTTTCCAAGCTACTCAGTCAAAAGCAAGGTTTGACACCATGAGATGAATGCAATTATCACAAAGCAGTGTCTCCATAAGATTCTTTCAGGTTTTTACCTGAAGATATTTCCTGTGTCATCATAGGCTTCAATATGCTATGAAATATAATATCACAGATTCTACAAAAACAGTTTCCAAACTGCTCAATCAAATAACAGGTTTATCTAGAAAGACTATTTCCAAAGAGTAGAACTTTGAAGAATCTGCAAAGGGAAATTTCTTGCAAATTCTGAGTGGTTAGATGCCTATGGTGGAAAAGGAAATATCTTCACATAAAAACTAGACAAAACTTTCTCAAAAAATTCTTTGTAAAGTGAGCATTCATCTCACATAGTTGAACCTTTCTATTGATTGAGCAGTTTGGAGACAGACTTTTTGTAGAATCTGCAAAGGGATATTTCTGAGGGGTTTGAGGCCTATGGAAAAAAGGAAATATCTTCACATATAAACTAGACAGAAGGTTTCTGAGCTATTTCCTTTTTCAACTTAGGCCTCTAACCGCTCAGAAATATCACTTTGCAGATTCTGGAAAAAGACTGTTTCCAAACTGCTCAATGAAAAGAAAGGTTCAACTCTGTGAGATGAATGAACACATCACAAAGAAGATTCTCAGAAAGCTTCTGTCTAGATTTTATGTGAAGATATTTCCTTTTTCTCCATAGGCCTCATACATTCCAAACATCCCTTTTCAGATTCTACAAAAAGACTGTTTCCAAACTGCTTAATCAAAAGAAAGGTTCAACTCTGAGAGACGAATGCACACATCACAAAGAAGTTTCTCAGAAAGATTCTTTCTAGCTTTTCTGTGAAGATATTTCCTTTTTCACCATAGGCCTCAAAGCACCCTCAAATGTCCCCATGCAGATTCTACAAAAAGACTGTTTCCAAACTGCTCAATCAAAAGAAAGGTACAACTCTGTGAGTTCAATGCACACATCACAAAGACGTTTCTCAGAAAGCTTCTGTCTAGTTTTTATGTGAAGATATTTCCTTTTCCACCATAGACGTCAAAGCGCCGTCAAGTATCCCTTGCAGATTCTACAAAAAGATTGTTTCCAAACTGCTCAATAAAAAAAAAATATTCAACTCTGTGAGTTGAATGCACACATCACAAATAGTTTCTCAGAAAGATTCCATCTAGTTTTTAAGTGAAGATATTTCTTTTTTCACCCTAGGCCTGAAACCACTCAGAAATATCCCATTGCAGATTCTACAAAATACTGTTTCAAAACTGCTCACTCAAAAGAAAAGTTCAAGTCTGTGAGATGAATGCACACATCACAAGGAAGTTTCTCAGAAAGCTTCAGTCTGGTTTTTATGTGAGGATATTTCCTTTTTCACCATAGGCTTCAAAGGGATCCCAAATATCCCTTTGCAGATTCTACAAAAAGACTGTTTCCAAACTGCTCAATCAAAAGAAAGATTCAAATCTGCGAGATGAATGTACACATTACTGAGAATTTTGTGAGAAAGCATCTGTATAGTATTTATGTGAAGATATTTCCTTTTTCACCATAGGCCTCAAAGGGCCGCAAATATCCCTTTGCAGATTCTAGAAAAGACTGCTTCCAAACTGCTCAATCAAAAGAAAGGTTCAACTCTCAGAGACGAGTGCACACATCACAAAGAAGTTGCTCAGAAAGCTTCTGTCTAGATATTATGTGAAGATATTTCCTTTTTCACCGTAGGCCTCAAACCGCTTGGATATATCCCTTTGCAGATTCTAGAAAAAGACTGTTTCTAAACTCCTCGAAATCAAAAAAATGATTCAACTCTGTGAGATGAATGCACTCATCATAAAGAAGTTTCTCAGAAACTTCTCTCTAGATTTTATGTGAAGATATTTCCTTTTTCACCATAGGCCACAAAGGACTCTAAAATGTCTCTTGCACATTCTGCAGAGAGACTGTTTCCTAACTGCTCAAACAAAAGAAAGGTTCAACTCTGTGAGATGAATACACACATCACAAATAATTTTCTCAGAAAGCTTCAGTATAGGTTTTATGTGAAGATATTTCCTTTTTTTCCATAGGCCTCAAACCACTCAGATATATCCCTTTACAGATTCTAGAAAAAGACTGTTTCCAAACTGCTCAATCAAAAGAAAGTTTCAATTCTGTGAGATGAATGCACACATCACAAAGAAGTTTCTCAGAAAGCTTCTGTCTAGATTTTATGTGAAGATATTTCCTTTTTCAAAATAGGCCTCAAAGGGATCCCAAATATCCCCTTGCAGATTCTACAAAGAGACTGTTTCAAAACTGCTCAATCAAAAGAAGGCTTCAACTCTGTGAGATGAATGCAAGCATCACAATGAAGTTTCTCAGAAATCTTCTGTCTAATTTTTATGTGAGGATATTTCCTTTTTTAAAATAGGAATCAAATTGCTCTCAAATATCACTCTGCAGATTCTAGAAAAAGATGGTTTCCAAACTGCTCAATCAAAAGAAGGCTTCAACTCTGTGAGATGAATGCACTCATCACAAAGAACTTTCTCAGAAAGATTCAGTCTAGATATTATGTGAAGATATTTCCTTTTTCAACACAGGCCTCAAAGGGCTCCCAAGCATCCCTTTGCAGATTCTACAAAAAGAGTGTTTCCAAACTGCTCAATCAAAAGAAACGTTCAACTCTGAGAGACAAATGCACACATGACAAAGAAGTTCCTCAGAAAGCTTCTGTCTTGTTTTTCTGTGAAGATATTTCCTTTTTCACCATAGACCTCAAAGCGACCTCAAATGTCCCTGTGTAGATCCTAGAAAAAGACAGTTTCCAAACTGCTCAATCCAAAGAAAGTTTCAACTATGGAGGTCAATGCACACATGGCAAAGGAGTTTCTCAGAAAACTTCTGTCTGGTTTTTATGAGAAGATATTTCCTTTTTCACCATAGGCCTCAAACTGCTCAGAAATATCCCTTTGCAGATTCTAGAAAAATAATGTTTCCAAACTGCTCAATCAAAAGAAATATTCAACACTGTGAGATGAATGCACACGTCACAACAAATTTTCTCAGAAAGCTTCCAACTAGTTTTTATGTGAAGATATTTCCTTTTTCACCTTAAAACTTGAACTGGACACAGATATCTCTCTACAGATAGTACAAAAAGATTGTTTCTAAACTGGTCAATCAAAAGTAAAACACAAGTCTCTGAGCTGAATCCACACATCACAAAGAAGTTTCTCAGAAAGCTTCTGTCTAGGTTTTATGTGGAGATATTCCCTTTTTCACCATAGGCCTCAAAGGGATCCCAAATATCCCTTTGCAGATTCTGTAAAAAGACGGTTCCTCTTTCCAAACAGTTCAATCAAAAGAAAGGTTCAAATTTTTGAGTTGAGTGCAAACATCACAAGGATGTTTCTCAGAAAGATTCTGTCTAGTTTTTATGTGAAGATATTTCCTTTTTCACCATAGGCCTCAAAGTGCTCAGAAATGTCCCTTTGAAGATTCTAGAAAATGACTATTTCCAAACTGCTCAATCAAAAGAAAGATTCAACTCTGTGAGATGAATGCACTCATCACAAAGAAATTTCTCAGAAAGCTTCTATCTAGTTTTTATGTGAAGATATTTCCTTTTTCACCATGGGCCTCAAAGGGCTCCGAAATACCCCTTTACAGATTCTACAAAAAGGCCGTTTCCTAACTGCTCAATTGAAAGAAAGGTTCATCCCTGTGAGATGAATGCACACATCACAAAGAATTTTCTGAGAAAGCTTCTGTCTAGTTTTAATGTGAAGATATTTCCTTTTTCACCACAGGCCTGAAACTGCTCAGAAATATCCCTTTGCAGATTCTAGAAAAAGACTGTTTTCAAACTGCTCAATCAAAAGTAAGTTTCAACACTGTGAGATGAATGCACACATCACAATGAAGTTTCTCAGAAAGCTTCTGTCTAGTTTTTATGTGAAGATATTTCCTTTTTCAAAATAGGCCTCAAAGTGCCCTCTAATATCCCTTTGCAGATTCTAGAAAAAGACTCTTTCCAAACTGGTCAATCAAAAGAAAGTTTCAACTCTGTCAGATGAATGCACACATTACAAAGAACGTTCTCAGAAAGCTTCTGTCTAGTTTTTATGTGAAGATATTTCCTTTTTCACCATGGGACTCAAAGGGCTCCCAAATAACCTTTTGCAGATTCTACAAAAAGACTGTTCACTAACTGCTCAATCAAAAGAAAGGTTCATCTGTGTGAGGTGAATGCACACATCACAAACAATTTTCTGAGAAAGCTTCTGTCTAGTTTTAATGTGAAGATATTTCCTTTTTCACCATAGGCCTGAAACTGCTCAGAAATATCCCTTTGCAGATTCAAGAAAAAGACTGTTTTCAAACTGCTGAATCAAAAGTAAGTTTCAACACTGTGAGATGAATGCACACATCACAATGAACTTTCTCAGAAAGTTTCTGTCTAGTTTTTATGTGAAGATATTTCCTTTTTCAAAATAGGCCTCAAAGCACCCTCTAGTATCCCTTTGCAGTTTCTAGAAAAAGACTGTTTCCAAACTGCTCAATCAAAAGAAAGGTTCAACTCTGTGAGATGAATGCACACATCACAAAGAAGTTTCTCAGAAAGCTGCTATCTATTTTCTATGGAAAGATAATTCCTTGTTCACCATAGGCCTGAAACAGCTCAGAAATATCCCTTTGCAGATTCTATAAAAAGATGATTTCCAAACTACTCATTCAAAAGAAACGTTCAAATCTGTGAGATGAATGCACACCATTCCAAAGAATTTTCTGAGAATGCCTCTGTCTAGTTTTTATGTGAAGATATTTCCTTTTCCACCGTAGGCACCAAACCACTCAGAAATATCCCTTTGCAGATTATACAAAAAGACTGTATCCAAACTGCTGAATTAATAGAAAGATTCTACTCTGTGAGATGAATGCACACATCACAAAGAATTTTCTGAGAAATCTTCTGTCTATTTTTTATATGAAGATATTCCTTTTTCTCCTTATGCCTCAAACCACTTGGAAACATCACTTTGCAGATTTTGGAAGAAGACTGTTCAACTCAGTGAGATGAATGCACATACCAAAAAGAACTTTCTCAGAAAGTTTCTGTCTGGATTTAACGTGAAGATATTTCTTTTTTCACCACAGACCATAAAGGACTCCCAAACATCCCTTTTCAGATTCTACAAAAATACTGTTTAAAAACTCCTCTATCAAAAGAAAGGTTCAACTCTGAGGGATGAATGCACACATCACAAAGAAGTTAGTCAGAAAGTTTCTTTGTATTTTTTATGTGAACATATATCCTTCTTCACCATAGGTCTCAAAGCGCCCTCAAATGTCCTGATGCACATTCTACAAAGATGTTTCCAAGCTGCTGAAACAAAAGAAAGGTTCAGTTCTGTGAGATGAATGCACACATCACAAAGAAGTTTCTCAGAAAGCTTCTATCTAATTTTTATGTGAAGATATTTCCTTTCTCACCATAGGCCTCAAACCACTCAGAAATATCCCTTTGCAGATTCTAGAAAAAGACTGTTTTCAAATGGCTCAATCAACAGAACAGTTCAACTCTGTGAGATGAGTGCACACAACACAAAGAATTTTCTGAGAAATCTTCTGTCTAGTTTTTATATGAAGATATTCCTTTTTTCACCGTAAGTACCAAAATGCTTAGAAATACCCCTTTGCAGATTCTAGAAAAAGACAGTTTGCCATCTGCTCAATCAAAAGAAAGATTCAACATGATGATTTGAATACACACTTCACAAAGAAGTTTCTCAGAAACCTTCTGTCTAGTTTTTATGTGAACATATTTCCTTTTTCACCATAGGCCTCAAACGGCTGAAAAATATCACTTTGCAGATTGTAGAAAAACACTGTTTCCAAACTGCTCAATCAAAAGAAAGTTTCAACTCTGTGAGATGAATGCACATTTCACAGAAATGTTTTTCAGAAAGCTTCTGTCTAGGTTTTATGTGAAGATAATCCTTTTTCACCATAGGCCTCAAACAGCTCAGAAGTATTCCTTTGCAGATACCAGAAAAGCACTGTTTCCAAACTGCTTAATCAAAAGAAAGTTTCAACACTATGAGATGCTTGCACACATCATGAAGACTTTTCTCAGAATGCTTCTGTCTAGTTTTTATGTGAAGATATTTCCTTTTTCACTGTAGTCCTCAAACTGCTGAAAATTATTCCTTTGCCAATTCCAGAAAAAGACTTTTTCCAAACTGCTCCATCAAAAGAAAATTTGAGCTCTGTGAGATGAATGCACGCTTCAGAAAGAAGTTTCTCAGAAAGCTTCTGTCTAGTTTTTATGTTAATATGTTCCCTTTTTCACCATAGGCGTTAAAGGGCTCCAAAATATCCCACTGCAGATTCTACAAAAAGAGTCTTTACAAACTGCTCAATCAAATGAAAGGTTCAAATCTCTGAGTCGAATGCAAGCATCATTATGACATATCTCAGAAAGCTTCTGTCTAGTTTTTATGTGAAGATATTTCCTTTTTCAAAATAGGAATCAAAGTGCCCTCAAATATCCCTTTGAAGACTCTATAAAAAGACTGTTTCCAAACTGCTCAATCAAAAGAAAGGTTCAATTTTGTGAGATGAATTCACGCACCACAATGAAGTTTGTCAGAATGCTTCTGCACAGTTTTTATGTGAAGATATTTACTTTTTCACCGTAGGCCTCAAACCCCTCAGAAATATCCCTTTGCAGATTCTACAAAAAGACTGTTTCTGTTTCAAAACTGCTTAATCAAAAGAAAGTTTCAAATCTGTGAGATGAATGCACACATCACAAAGAGGTTTCTTAGAAAGTTTCTGTCTGTTTTTTTTTGTGAAGATATTTCCATTTTCACCTTAGGCCTCAAATCGCTCAGCCTCATCACTTTGCGGACTCTGGAAAAAGATTGTTTCCAAACTGCTCAATCAAAAGATAGGTTCAACTCTATGAAATGAATGCACACATCACAAAGAAGTTTCTCAGAAATCTTCTGTCTAGATATTATATGAAGATATTTCCTTTTTCACTACAGGCCTCAAAGGGCTCCCAAACATGCCTTTGCAAATTCTACAAAAAGACTGTTTCCAAACTGCTCAATCAAAAGAAAGTTTCAACTCTGAGAGAAGAATGGACACATCACAAAGAAGTTTCTCAAAAAGCTTCTGTCTAGTTTTTATGTGAAGATATTTCCTTTTCCACCATAGGACTTAAAGCACCCTCAAATGTCCCATGCAGATTCTACAAAAAGATTGTTTCCAAACTGCTCAATCAAACGAAGTTTCAACTCTGTGAGTTCAATGCACACATCACAAAGAATTTCTCAGAAAGCCTCAGTTTTATGTGTAGATGTTTCCCTTTTCACCACCATCCTCAAGCCACTCTGAAATATCCCTTTGCAGATTGTAGAAAAAGACAGTTTCCAAACTGCTCAATCAAAGGAAAGATTCAACACTGTGAGATGAATGCATACATCACAAATAATTTTCTCAGAAAGCTTCCATCTAGTTTTTATGGGAAGATATTTCCTTTTTCACCATAGACCTCAAAACACTCGGATATATCCCTTTGAAAATTCTAGAAAAAGAATGTTTCCAAACTGCTCAATCAAAAGAAACTTTCAATTCTGTGTGATGAATGCACACATCACAAAGAAGTTTCTCAGAAAGATTCTGTATAGGTTTTATGTGAAGATAATCCCTTTTTCACCACAGGCCTCAAAGGGATCCCAAATATCCTTTTGCAGATTATATAAAAACACTGTTTCCAACCTGCTGAATCAATAGAAAGATTCTACACTGTGAGATGAATGCACACATCTCAAGGAATTTTCTGAGAAATCTTCTGTCTAATTTTTATGTGAAGATATTCCCTTTTTCACCTTATGCCTCAAGCCACTAGGAAATATCACTTTGCAGATTGTGGAAAAAGACAGTTTCCAAACTGATCAAGGAAAAGAAAGGTTCAACTCTGTGAGATGAATGCTCACATAACAAAGAAGTTTCTCAGTAAGCTTCTGTCTGGATTTAGCCTGAAGATATTTCCTTTCTCACCACAGACCTCCAAGGGCTCCAAAACATCCCTTTTCAGATTCTACAAAACGACTTTTTAAAAACTCCTCAATCAAAAGAAATGTTCAACTCTGAGAGATGAATGCACACATCACAAAGGAGTTTCTCAGAAAGTTTCTTCCTAGTTTTTATGTGAAGATATATCCTTTTTCACCATAGACCTCAAGGCACCCTCAAATGTCCCTGTGCAGATTCTACAAAAAGACTGTTTCCAAACTGCTCAATCAAAAGAAATTTTCAGCTCTGTGAATGGAATGCACACATGTCAAAGAAGTTTCTCACAAAGTTTCTGTCTAGTTATTATGTGAAGATATTTCCTTTTTCACAATAGGCATCAAACTGCTCAGAAATATCCCTTTGCAGATTCTAGAAAAAGACTGTTTCCAAACTGCACAATCAAAATAAAGATTCAACTCTGTGAGATGAATGAAAGCATCACAATGAAGTTTCTCAGAAAGCTTCTGTCTAATTTTTATGTGAAGATATTTCCTTTTTCAAAATAGGAATCAAATCACCCTCAAATATCCCTCTGCAAATTCTACAAAAAGTCTATTTCCTAGCTGCTCAATCAAAATAAAGTTTCAACTCTGTGAGATGAGTGCACGCATCACAATGAATTTTCTCAGAAAACTTCTGTTTAGTTTTTAAGTGAAGATATTCCCTTTTTCAAAATAGGTATCAAAGCAACCTCTAATATCTCTTTGAAGATTCAAGAAAAAGACTGTTTCCAAGCTGCTCAATCAAAAGAAATTTTGAACTCTGTGAGATGAATGCACACATCACAGAGGGTTCTCAGAAAGTTTCTGTCTAGTTTTTCTGTGAAGATATTTCCTTGTTCACCATAGGACGCAAACCACTCAAAAATATCCCTTTGCAGACCCCTCAAAAAGACTGTTTCCAAACTGCTCAATCAAAAGAAAGGTTCAAATCTGTGAGATGAATGCACACATCACAAGGAATTTTCTGAGAAAACTTCTGTCTCGTTTTTATGTGAAGATATTTTGTTTTTCACCATAGGCCTCAAAGGGATCCCAGATATCCATTTGCAGATTCTACTAAAAGACTCTTTCCAAACTGCTCAATCAAAAGAAAGTTTCAACTCCATGAAATGAATTCACACATCATAAAGAAGTTTCTCAGAAAGTTTCTGTCAAGTTTTCATATGAAGATATTTCCTTTTTCACCATAGGCATCAAACAGCTCGCAAACATCCATTTGCAGATTCTACAAAAAAACTGTTTCCAAACTGCACAATCAGAAGAATGGCATAATTCTGTGAGATGAATGCACACATCACAAAGAAGTCTCTTTTTTTTTTTTGGAAGGGGATGCACAATTTATTTATTTATGCTTAATTTTTAATTTAATTTAATTTTTTCAAAAGTTATTGGGGTATAGGTGGTATTCGGTTACATGAGTAAGTTCTTCAGTGGTGATTATGAGATTTGGTGCACCCATCACCCAAGCAGTATACACTGCACCATATTTGTAGTCTTTTATCACTCACCCCCTCTCACTCTTCCCATCAAGCCCTCAAAGTCCATTGTATCATTCTTATGCCTTTGCATCCTCATAGCTTAGCTCTCACATATCAATGAGAACATATGATGGTTTGTTTTCCATTCCTGAGTTACTTCACTTAGAATAATAGTCTCTAATCTCATCCAGGTCACTACAAATGCTGTTAATCCATTCCTTTTCATAGACGAGTAGTAGTCCATTGTGTATACATATATATCACAGTTTTTTTTTTTTTGAGGTAATGGTATGTTTTTTTAATTATACTCTAAGTTTTAAGGTACATGTGCACATTGTGCAGGTTAGTTACATATGTATACATGTGCCATGCTGGTGCACTGCACCTGCTAACTCGTCATCTAGCATTAGGTATATCTCCCAATGCTATCCCTCCCCCCTCCCCCCACCCCACAACAGTCCCCAGAGTGTGATATTCCCCTTCCTGTGTCCATGTGATCTCATTGTTCAATCCCCACCTATGAGTGAGAATATGCGGTGTTTGGTTTTTTGTTCTTGCGATAGTTTACTGAGAATGATGTTTTCCAATTTCATCCATGTCCCTACAAAGGACATGAACTCATCATTTTTTCTAAGAAAGCTTCTGTATAGTTTTTATGTTAAGATATTCCCTTTCTCAAAATAGACCTCAAATGGATCCCAAGTATCCTTTTGCAGAATCTATAAAAAGACTGTTTCCGAACTGCTCCAACAAAAGAAAGGTTCAAGTCTGTGAGTTGAATGCACACATCACCAAGAAGTTTCTCTGAGAGTTTCTGTCTAGGTTTTAGATGAAGATATTTCCTTTTTCTCCATATGCCTCAAACAGCTCCCAAATATCCCTTTGCAGATTTTACAAAAAGACTCTTTCCAAACTGTTCAAAAGAAAGTTTCAACTCTGTGAGGTTAACACAAGCAAGTTTCTCAGAAAGCTTCTGTCTAGTTTTGATGTGAAGTTATTTCCTTTTTCACCATAGGCCTCAAACCGCTCAGAAATATCCTTTTGCAGATTCTAGAAAAAAACTGTTTCCAAACTGCTTAATCAATAGAAAAGTTCAACTCTGTGAGAGAAATACACACACCACAAAGAATTTTCTGAGAAACTTCTGTCTAGTCTTTATGTGAAGATATTTCCTTTTTCACCATTGATATCAAACTGCTCAGAAATATCCCTTTGCAGATTCTAGAAAAAGACTGTTTCCAAACTTCTCAATCAAAAGAAAGGTTCAACTCTGTGAGATGAATGCACACATGAGAAAGAAGTTTCTCAGAGAGCTTCTGTCTAAATTATAGGTGAAGATATTTCCTTTTTGACCATAAGCCTCAAACCGCTCAGAAATATTCCTTTGCAAATTCTAGAAGAAGACTATTTCCAAGCTGCCCAATCAAAAGAAAGGTTCAACTCTGTGAGATGAATGCACACATCACAAAGAAGTTTCTCAGAAAGCTCTGTCCAGTTTTTATAAGAATATATTTGCTGTTTCACCATTGGCCTCAAAGCGATCCAAAGTTTCCCTTTGCAGATTTTACAAAAAGACTGTTTCCAAACTGCTCAATCAAAAGAAAGATTCAACTCTGAGAGATGAATGCCCACATCACAGAGAAGTTTCTCAGAAATCTTCTGTCTAGTTTTTATGTGAAGATATTTCCTTTTTCACCATTGGCCTCAAACCACTGAGAAATATCCCTTTGCAGATTCTAGAAAAAGACTGTTTCCAAACTGCTCAATCAAAAGAAGATTCAAATCTGTGAGATGAATGCACTCACCACAAATAAGTTTCTCGGAAAGATTAGGTCTAGTTTTTATGTGAAGACATTTCCTTTTTCACCAGAGGCCTCAAAGGGTCTTCAAATATCCCTTTGCACATTCTACAAAAAGACTGTTTCCAAACTGCTCAATCAAAAGTAAGGTTCAACTTTGTGTGATCAATGCAAGCATCACAGTGAAGTTTCTCAGAAGGTTCTGTCAATTTTTTATGTGAATAAATTTCCACTTTCACCATAGGGCACAAAGTGCTCCCAAATATCCCTTTGCAGGTACTACAAAAGACGGATTCCAAAGTGCTCAATCAAAAGAAAGGTTCAACTGTGAGATAAATGCACCCATCACAAAGAAGTTTCTCAGAAAGCTTCTGTCTAGTTTTCATGTGAAGATATTTCCTTTTTCACCATCGGCCTCAAACCGCTCAGAAATATCCCTTTGCAGATTCTACAAAAGGATGGGTTCCAAATTGCTCAATGAAAGAAAGGTTCAACTCAGTGTGTTCAATGAACGCATCACAAAGAATTTTCTGAGAAAGCTTCTGTCTAGTTTTTATATGAAAATGTTTCCTTGTTCATCATAGGCCTCAAATCTCTCAGAAATATCCCTTTGCAGATTCTACAAAAGGACTGTTTCCAAACTGCTCAATCAAAAGAAAGGTTGAACTCTGTGAGTTGAATGCACACATCACAAAGAAGTTTCTCAGAAAGCTTCTGTCTAATTTTTATGTGAAGATATTTTCTTTTTCACCATAGGCATCATACCATTAATAAATATACCTTTACAGATTCTAGAAAAAGACTGTTTCCAAACTGCACAATCAAAAGAAAGGTTCAACTCTGTGAGATGAGTGCATACATCACAAAGAAGTTTCTCAGAAAGCTTCCATCTAGATTTATGTGAAGATACTTCTTTCTACATCATAGGCCTCAAACCACTGAGAAATATCCCTTTGCAGATTCTAGAAGAAGACTGTTTTGAAACTGCTCAATCAGAAGAGAGATTCAAGTCTGTGAGATTAATGCACTCATCACAATGGAATTTTTTAGAAATCTTCTGTCTAGTTTTTATTTGTAGATGTTTCCTTTTTCACCATAGGCCTCAATGTGCTCGCAAATATCCCCTTGCAGATTCTACAAAGGAGCTGTTTCCAAACTGCTCAATCAAAAGAAATATTGCATTCTGGGAGATGAATGTCTGCATCATAGTGAAGTTTCTCAGAACTCTTCTGTCCCATTTTTAAGTGAACATGTTTCCTTTTTCATCATAGGCATCCAAGGGCTACAAATTACCCCTTCACAGATTCCACAAAAAGACGGTTTCCAAACTGCTCAATCAAAAGTAAAGTAAGTAAAGTTAATGTCTGTGAGTTGAATGCACACATAACAAAGATGTCTCTCAGAAAGCTTCTATCTAGTTTTTATATGAAGATATTATATTTTTCACCATAGGCATCAAACCACTGAGAAATATCCCTTTGCAGATTCTTTAAAAAGACTGCTTCCAAACTGCTCAATCAAAAGAAAGATTCTAAACTGTGAGATGAATGCAAACATCACAAAGATGTTTCTGAGAGAGCTTCTGTCTACTTTTTATGTGAAGATATTCCCTTTTTCAAAATAGGCATCAAAAGGATCCCAAATATCCATTTGGAGATTCTACAAGAAGACTGTTTCCAAACTGCTCAATCAAAAGAAAGATTCAAGTCTGTGAGTTGAATGCACACATTGCAAAGCAGTTTCTCAGAAGTCTTCTGTCTAGTTTTTATATGAAGATATTTCCTTTTAAGCTATAGGCTTCAACATGCTCAGAAATATCCCTTTGCAGATTCTAGAAAAAGACTGTTAACAAACTGCTCAATCCAAAGAAAGGTTCAACTCTGTGAGATGAATTCACACATCACAAAGAAGTTTCTCAAAAAGCTTCTGTTTAGTTTTTATGTGAAGATATTTCCTTTTTCACCATAGGCCTCAAAGAGATCCCAAATATCCTTTTGCATATACCATAAAAAGACTCTTTCTAATCTGCTCAATCAAAAGAAAGTTTCGTCTAGTTTTTATGCGAAGATATCTCCTTTCTCACCTTAGGCCTCAAAGGGCTCCCAAATATTCCTTTGCAGTTTGTACAAAAAGACAGTTTACAAACTGGTCAATCAAACTTAAAGTACAAGTCTGTGAGTTGAATGCACACATCACAAAGAAGTTTCTCAGAAAAATTCTGTCCAGTTTTTATGTGAAGATATTTCCTTTTTCACCACTGGCCTCAAAACACTCTGGAATATCCCTTTGCAGATTCTAGAAAAAGACTGTTTCCTTTTTTTATTTAGTCTATTTGATGCTTCTCTCTTTTCTTCTTTATTAGTCTTGCTAGGGGTCTATCAATTATGTTGATCCTTTCAAAAAACCAGCTCTTGCATTCATTAAGTTTTTGAAGGGTTTCTTGTGTCTCTATTTCCTTCAGTTCTGCTCTGATTTTAGTTATTTCTTGCTTTCTGCTAGCTTTTGAATGTGTTTGCTCTTGCTTTTCTAGTTGTTTTAATTGTGATGTTAGGGTATCAATTTTGGATCTTTCCTGCTTTCTCTTGTGGGCATTTAGTGCTGTAAATTTCCCTCTACACACTGCTTTGAATGTGTCCCAGAGATTCTGGTATGTTGTGTCTTTGTTCTCATTGGTTTCAAAGAGCTTGTTTATTTCTTCCCTCATTTCGTTATGTACCCAGTAGTCATTCAGGAGCAGGTTTTTCAGTTTCCACGTAGTTGAGTGGTTTTGAGTGAGTTTCTTAATCCTGAGTTCTAGTTTGATTGCACTGTGGTCTGAGAGACAGTTTGTTATAATTTCTGGTCTTTTAAATTTGCTGAGGAGAGCTTTACTTCCAAGTATGTGGTCAATTTTGGAATAGCTGTGGTGTGGTGCTGAAAAAAATGTGTATTCTGTTGATTTGGGGTGGAGAGTTCTGTAGATGTCTATTAGGTCCGCTTGGTGCAGAGCTGAGTTCAATTCCTGGGTATCCTTATTTACTTTCTGTCTCATTGATCTGTCTAATATTGACAGTGGGGTGTTAAATTCTCCCATTATTATTGTGTGGGAGTCTAAGTCTCTTTGTAGGTCACTCAGGACTTGCTTCACCACTGATCCTACAGAAATACAAGCTACCATCAGCAAATACTACAAACACCTCTATGCAAATAAACTAGAAAATCTAGAAGAAATGGATAAATTTCTCGACACATACACCGTCCCAAGACTAAACCAGGAAGAAGTTGAGTCTCTGAATAGACCAATAACAGGCTATGAAATTGTGGCAATAATCAATAGCTTACCAAACAAAAAGAGTCCAGGACCAGATGGATTCACAGCTGAATGCTACCAGAGGTACAGGGAGGAACTGGTACCATTCTTTCTGAAACTATTTCAATCAATCGAAAAAGAGGGAATTCTCCCTAACTCATTTTATGAGGCCAGAATCATCCTGATACCAAAGCCGGGCACAAACACAACCAAAAAAGAGAATTTTAGACCAATACCCTTGATGAACATTAATGCAAAAATTCTCAATAAAATACTGGCAAACCGAATCCAGCAGCACATCAAAAAGCTTATCCACCATGATCAAGTGGGCTTGACAAAATTCAACAACCCTTCATGCTAAAAACTCTCAATAAAATAGGTATTGATGGGACGTATCTCAAAATAATAAGAGCTATCTATGACAAACCCACAGCCAATATAATACTGAATGGGCAAAACTGGAAGCATTCCCTTTGAAAACTGGCACAAGACAGGGATGCCCTCTCTGACCACTCCTATTCAACATAGTGTTGGAAGTTCTGGCCAGGGCAATCAGGCAGGAGAAGGAAATAAAGGATATTCAATTAGGAAAAGAGGAAGTCAAATTGTCCCTGTTTGTAGATGACATGATTGTATATCTAGAAAACCCCATTATGTCAGCTCAAAATCTCCTTAAACTGATAAGCAACCTCAGCAAACTCTCAGGATACAAAATCAATGTACAAAAATCACAGGCATTCTTATACATCAATAACAGACAAACAGAGAGCCAAATCATGAGTGAACTCCCATTCACAATCACTTCAAAGAGAATAAAATACCTAGGACTCCAACTTACAAGGGACATGAAGGAACTATGAACCACTGCTCAATGAAATAAAAGAGGATACAAAGAAATGGAAGAACATTCCATGCTCATGGGTAGGAAGAATCAATATCGTGAAAATGGCCATACTGCCCAAGGTAATTTATAGATTCAATGCCATCCCCATCAAGCTACCAATGACTTTCTTCACAGAATTGGAAAAAACTACTTTAAACTTCATGTGGAACCAAAAAAGAGTCAGCATCACCAATTCAATCCTAAGACAAAAGAACAAAGCTGGAAGCATCACACTACCTGACTTCAAACTATACTACAAGGCTACAGTCACCAAAACAGCATGGTACTAGTACCAAAACAGAGATATAGACCAATGGAACAGAACACAGCCCTCAGAAATAAGGCTGCATATCTACAACTATCTGATCTTTGACAAACCTGAGAAAAACAAGCAATGGGGAAAAGATTCCCTATTTAATATATGGTGCTGGGAAAACTGGCTAGCCATATGTAGAAAGCTGAAACTGGATGCCTTTCTTACACTTTATACAAAAATTAACTCAAGATGGATTAAAGACTTAAATGTTAGACCTAAAACCATCAAAACCCTAGAACAAAACCTAGGCATTACCATTCAGGACATGGTATGGGCAAGGACTTCATTTCTAAAACACCAAAAGTATTGGCAACAAAAGCCAAAATTGACAAATGGGAACTAATTCAACTAAAGAGCTTCTGCACAGCAAAAGAAACTACCATCAGAGTGAACAGGAAACCTACAAAACGGGAGAAAATTTTCGCAACCTATCATCTGACAAAGAGCTCATATCCAGAATCTACAATGAACTCAAACAAATTTACCAGAAAAAAAAACAAACAACCCCGTCAAAAAGTTGGCGAAGGACATGAACAGACACTTCTCAAAAGAAGACATTTATGCAGCCAAAAAACACATGAAAAAATGCTCACCATCACTGGCCATCAGGTGAAATGCAAATCAAAACCACAATGAGATACCATCTCACACCAGTTAGAATGGCAATCACTAAAAAGTCAGGAAACAACGGGTGCTGGAGAGGATGTGGAGAAATAGGAACACTTTTACACTGTTGGTGGGACTGTAAACTAGTTCAACCATTGTGGAAGTCAGTGTGACAATTCCTCAGGGATCTAAAACTAGAAATACCATTAGACCCAGCCATCTCATTACTGGGTATATACGCAAAGGATTACAAGTCATGCTTCTATAAAGACACATGCACACGTATGTTTATTGTGGCAGTACTCACAATAGCAAAGACTTGGAACCAACCCAAATGTCCAACAATGATAGACTGGATTAAGAAAATGTTGCACATATACACCATGGAATACTATGCAGCCATAAAAAATGATGAGTTCATGTCCTTTGTAGGGACATGGATGAAATTGGAAATCATAATGCTCAGTAAACTATCGCAAGGACGAAAAACCAAACACCGCATGTTGTCACTCATAGATGGGAATTGAACGATGAAAACACATGGACACAGGAAGGGGAACATCACACTCTGGGGACTGTTGTGGGGTGGGGGTAGCAGGGAGGGATAGCATTAGGAGATATAGCTAATGCTTAATGATGAATTAATCGGTGCAGCACACCAGCATGGCACATGTATACTTATGTAACTAACCTGCACATTGTGCACATGTACCATAAAACTTAAAGTATAATAATAATAAAAAATAAACAATAAAAAAATTGTTTCCAAACTGTTACATCAAAAGTAGGACTTATCTCTGTGAGATGAACACACACATCTGAAAGCCATTTCTCATAATGTTTCCTTCCAGTTTTTATCTGAAGATATTACATTTATCACTATAGGCTTTTTTGCTGTAGCTGATATTGCTTTTCAGATTTTGCAAAAATGTGTTTCTGAACTTCTCAGTGTAAAGAAAATTTTAACTCCATGGGGTGAATGCACACATCACAAACGAGTTTCTCAAGAAGCTTCTTTCTAGTTTTTATCCTAAGATAATTCCCTTTTCAATATAGGCCTCAGTGTGCTTCCAAATATACCTTTGCTTATTCTACTAAAATAGTGTTTTCAAATTGCTCAATCACAAGAAAGGTTTAAATCTGTGAGAAGAATTAGAGCATCTTAAAGCAGTTTCTCAGATAGTTTATATCTACTTCTTTTCTGAAGATATTTCCCTTTTCACCAGAGGCCTCAGTTCACTCCAAATATACCTTTTCATATTCTACAAAAATAGTGTTTTCAAACTGCTCTATCAAAAAGAAGGTTTAAATCTGTGAGATGAATTCATGCATCACAAAGCTGTTTCTCAGATAACTTCCGTCTAATTCTCTAATGATATTTCCTTTTCCAACATAGGCCTCCCAAATATCCCTTCACAGATTCTATAAAACAGTGTTTCCAAACAGCTCAATCAAAAGAAAGTTTTAAGTCTGTGAGATAAACACACACATTACAAAGCAGTTTCTCTGAAATCTTCCATGTAGTTCTTCTCTGAAGATATTTCCTTTTTAACCATAGGCCTCAATATGCTCCAAAATATCCCTTCACAGATTCTGAAAATAACAGTGTTTCCAAACTGCTCCATCAAAAGAATGACATAACTCTGTGAGATAAATGTACACATAAGAAAACAGTGTCTCATAACGCCTCTTTCCAGTTTTCTCTGAAGATATTTCCTTGTTCACTGTAGTCTTTTTTGGGCTACTTTACATCGCTTCACAAATTTTGCAAAAACAGTGTTTCCAAAATGCTCAGTTAAATGAAAGGCTTATCTCTGTGAGATGAATGCACACATCACAAAACAGTTTCTCAAAAGCTTTTTTCTATATTTTATCTGAAGATATTTCCTCTATCACCACAGGCTTCAATGCCATCCCAAATATCCCATCAGAGATTCTGCAAAAACTGGGTTTCTGAACTGCTCAATCAAAACACTGGTTTAACTCTGTGTGTTGAATGCACATATCAGAAAGCAATTTCTCAAAGCCTCTTTCTGGTTTTTATCTGAAAATATTTCCTTTTTCACTATAGGCCTCAGTGCTCTCGCAAATATCTCTTTGCAGCTTCTACAAAAACAGTGTTTCCAAACTGCTAAATGAAAAGAAAGGTTTAAATCTGTAAGGTAAATGCAAACATCACAAAGGAGTTTCTCAGATAGCCTCTCTCTAGTACTCTTCTGAAGATATTTAATTTTCCACCATAGGCCCCAAAGTGCTCCCAAATATCCCTTTGCAGATTCTATAAAAACATTGTTTCTGCACTGTTCCATCAAAAGAAATGTTGTACTCTATGAGATGAATGCACACATGAGAAAGAAGTTTCTCACAACAATTCTTTCCAGTTTTTATCTTAAAATATTTCCTTGTTCACCATAGACCTTTTTGCACTAGAAAGCATCACTTCAAAGATTATAAAAAAAAAAGTGTTTCAAAACTGCTCAGTCAAAAGAAAAGTTTATTTCTGTGAGATGAATGCATCCATCAGAAAGCATTTTCTAAAAGATCTTCCCTCTAGTTTTTATCCGAAGATATTTCCTTTTTCACCATAAGCATCAGTGTGCTCCCAAATATCCCATTTTAGATTCTATGATAACACTGTTTCCAAACTGCTCAATCAAAAGAAAATTTTTCCTCTGTGAGAAAAATGCACACATAGTAATGCGGTTTATCAGAAAAACCCTATTTAGTTTTTATCTGAAGTTATTTCCTTTGCAGATGTTATAAAACTGCTCAATCAAAAGAAAGATATAACTATATGGGATGAATGCACACATCATAAAGCAGTTTCTCAGGAAGATTCTGTCTAGTTCTTGGCTGAAGATATTTTCTTTTGCACCATAGTCCTGAATGCAATCCAAAATATTCCTTTGAAGATTCTACAAAAACAGTGTGTCCAAAGTGATCAATCAACAGAAAATTTTAACTCTGTGAGATGAATGCAGACATCACAATGCAGTTTCTCAAAAATCTTCTTTCTAGTTTTTGTTCAAAGATATTTCCTTTTTCACTATAGGCTTCAATGCGCTCTCAACTTTCATTCACAGATTCTACAAAAACAGTGTTTCCAAACTGCTCAGTCAAAAAGCAGGTTAAACTCTGTCACTTGAATGATCCCATCTCAAAAGCAGTTTCTCAAAAAAATTTCTTTCTAGTTTTTATCCAAAAATATTTCATTTTTCAACATAGGCCTCAGGGCACTCTGAAATATACCTTTGTATATTCTACAGAAACAGTGTTGCCAAACACATCAATCAAAGAAAGTTATAACTCTATGTAATGAAAGCACACATCACAAAGCACTTTGTTAGATAGATTCCTTCTACTTTTTATCTGAAGATATTCCCTTTTTCACCATACGCTTCAGTGTGCTCCCAAAT
Source organism: Homo sapiens (assembly GCF_000001405.40). NCBI lineage: Eukaryota > Metazoa > Chordata > Mammalia > Primates > Hominidae > Homo > Homo sapiens. The sequence goes on from NC_000012.12 coordinate 37,871,786, forward strand.
ATGCCATCACGGAGTCTACAAAAACAGTGTTTCCAAACTGCTCAATCCAAAAACAGGTTTACTTTGTGAGATGAATGCACACATCACAAAGAATTTCTCTAAAAGCTTCCTTCTAGTTTTCATCCGAAGATATTTCCTTTTTCACCATAGACCTCAGTGTGTTTCCAAATTTACCTTTGCAGATTGTACAAAAACAGTGTTTCCAAACTGCTCAATCAAAAGAAAAGTTTAACTCTGTGAGAAGAATGCATACATCACAAAGAAGTTTGTCAGATAATTTCTGCTTAGCTCTTCTCTGAAGATATTTCCATTTCCACCATAGGCCTCAATGCGCTCCAAAATGACCCTTCACAGATTCTATAAAAAAAGTGTTTCTGAACTGTTCCTTCAAAAGAAGGATTTAACTCTGTGAGGTGAACACACACTTCACAAAACAATTTCTCATAATGCATCTATCCAGTTTTCATCTGAAGAAATTTCCTTGTTCACCATAGGCCCTTTTGTGGTACTTAACATCGCATCAGAGGTTCTACAAAAACTTTGTTTCCAGACTACTCAGTCAAAAGAAAGATTTAACTCTGTGGTATGAATGCATACATCACAAAGCAGTTTCTCAAAAAGCTGACTTCCACTTTTTATCACAAGATATTCTTTTTCCACAATAGGCATCCATGCACTCCCATATATCCCTTTGCAGATTCTACAAAAACATTGTTTCCAAACTGCTCAAACAAATGAAACATTTAAGTATTTGAGAAGAATGCACACACCAAAAATCGTTTTCTCAGAAAGCTTCTTTCTAGTTTTTATCTGAAGTTATTTCCTTTTTGAACATTGGCCTCGTGTGCTCCCAAATATTCCTTCACAGATTCTACAAACACAGTGTCTCCACACTACTCAGTCAAAAGAAAGGTTTAACTCTCTGAGATGAAGGCACACATCACAAAGCAGTTTCTCAAAAACTTCTTCCTAGTTTTTATCCAAAGATATTTCCTTCATCACCATAGGCTTCAAAGTGCTCCCAAATATCCTGCCACAGATTCTGCAAAGACAGTGTTTCCAAACTGCTCAATTAAAAAAGAGGTTTAACTCTGTGAGTTGAAGGCACACACCACAAAACAGATTCTCAAGAAGCTTCTTTATAGTTTTTATCTAGAAATATTTCCTTTTTCACCTTAGGCCTCATGCACTCCTAAATATCCATTCACAGTTTCTACAAAAACAGTGTTTCCAAACTGCTCAATCAAAAGAAAGGTTTACCTCTGTGAGATGAATGCACACATCACAAAGCAGTTTCTCAAAAAGCATTTTTCTCATCTCCATCCGAAGATATTTCCTTTTTCACCATAGTCCTCAATGCGCTCCCAACTATGCCTTTGCAGATCATACAGAAACAGTGTTTCCTAAATGCTCAATCAAAAGAAAGGTTTAACTCTGTGAGATGAATGCACACATCACAAAGCATTCCTTAGAAAGCTTTTGTCTAGTTCTCTGAAGATTTTTTCCTTTTCCACTGTAAGACTAAAGGTAATCCCAAATATCCCTTCACAGATTCTACAAAAACAGTGTTTCCAATCTGTTCCATCAAAAGAAGGACTTAACTCTGAGATGAATGCACACATTGGGATGCAGTCTATCATAATGCTTCTTTCCAGTTTTCATGTGAAGATGTTTCCTTTTTCACCACAGCTTTTTTTGCGCTGCATAATATCGCTTTGCAGATTTTGCAAAAAGTGTGTTTCTGAACTGCTCAGTCAAAAGAAATTTTTAACTCTGTGATATGAGTGCACTCATCACAAAGCAGTTTCTCAAAAAGCTTCTTTCTAGTTTTTATCTGAAGGTATTTCCTTTTTCACCATAGGACTTGTGCACTCCCAAATATCCCTTCACAGATTCTACAAAACTGTGTTTCTAAACTGCTCAATAAAATTTTTAAGTCTCTGAGAAGAATGCATCTCTGAGAAGAATGCACACCTCACTAAGCAGTTTCACAGTTTCTTTCCAGTTTTTGTCTCAAAATGTTTGCTTCTTCACCATAGGCTTTTTTACACTACCTAATATCACTTTGCAGATTTTGCAATAACAGTGTTCCCAAACTGCTCAGTCATAGGAAAGGTTTAACTCTGTGGGATGAATGCACACATCACAAACCACTTTCTCAAAAAGCTTCTTTCTTGTTATTATCTGAAGATATTTCCTTTATCACTATAGGCTTCAATGCACTCCCAAATTTCCTCTTGCAGATTCTACAAAAACACTATTTCCAAATTGCTTGATCAAAAGAAATATTTAACTCTGTGAGAAGATGGCACACATTAGAAAGCAGTAACTCGTAACACTTTTTTTCAGTATTTATCTCAAAATGTTTGCTTGTTCACCATAGGCTTTTATACGTTATGTAATATCACCTTGCAGATTTTGCAAAAACAGTGTTCCCAAACTGCTCAGTCATAGGAAAGGTTTAATTCTGTGAGATGAATGCACACATGACAAACCACTTTCTTAAAAAGCTTCTTTCTGGTGATTTTCTGAAGATATTTCTTTTATCACTGTAGGCTTCAATGCACTCCCAAATTTCCCGTCTCAGATTCTACAAAAACACTGTTTCCAAATTGCTCAAGGAAAAAACAGGTTTAACTCTGTGACTTGAACACACATATCACAAAACAGTTTCTCAAAAAGCTTCCTTCTACTTTTTATTTGAAGATAATTCTTTTTTCACCTTAGACGTCAATGTGCTCCAAAATATCCCTTTGTGGATATTACAAAAACAGTGTTTCAAAACTGTTTGATTAAAAGAAGAACTAAACTCTGTGAGATGAACACACACAAAAGAAAGAAGGTTCTCATAATCCTTCTTTCCAGTTTTAATCTGAAGACATTTCCTTTTTCACCATAGGCTTTTTTTGCACTACCTAATATCAGTTCACAGATTTTGCAAAAACAATGTTTCCAAACTGCTCAGTCATAATAAAGGTTTCACTCTGTGAGATAAATGCATTCATCACAAAGAAGCTTCTCAAAAAGCTACTTTCTTGTTTTTATCCAAAGATAATTCCTTTATCACCCTAGGGTTCAATGCATGCCCAAATATCCCATCACAGATTCTACAAAAAAAGAGTGTCCAAAATGCTCAACCAAAAAACAGGTTTAAATTTGTGAGTTGAATGCACAGTTCACAAAGCAGTTTCTCAAAAACTCCTTTCCACTTTTTATCAGAAGGTATTTCCTTTTTCACCATAGTCATCGTGTGCTCCCAAATATCCCTTTGCAGATTCTACAAAAACAGTGTTTCCAAACTGATCATTCCAAGGAAAGTTTTAACTCTGTGAGTTGAAAGCACACATTGCGTAGCATTTTCTCAAAAGGCTTCTTTCTAGTTTTTATCTGAAGGTATTTCCTTTTTCACTGTAGGCATAAACATGCTCCCAAATATGCCTTCATATATTCTACAAAAACAGTGTTTCCAAACTTCTCAATCAAAAGAAAGGTTTAACTTCGTGAGATGAATGCACACTTCACAAAGCAGCTTCTCAGAAAACTTCTGTCTACTTCTTCTCTGAAGATATTTCCTTTTCCACCATGGTCTTGATACACTCCCAAATATTCCTACACAGATTCTACAAAAACAGTGCTCCAAACTGTTCCGTGAAAAGAAACACTTAACTCTGTAAGATGAAAGCACACAAAACAAAGCAGTTTCTCAGAAAGCTTCTTTCTAATTTTTATCTAAAGTTATTTCCTTTTTCACCATAGTCCTCACGCAGTCCCAAATATCCTTTCAAATATTCTACAAAAACTGTTTCCAAGCTACTCAATCAAAAACTCATTTAACTCTGTGAGGTGAATGCACACATCACAAAGCAGTTTCTCAATAACCTTCTTTCTAATTTTTATCCAAAGATGTTTCCTTTTTCACTGTAGGCTTCATTATGCTCCAAAATATACCTTTGCAGATTCTACAAAAACCGTGTTTCTGAACTGCTCAATCAAAAAACAGGTTTAGTTTGGTGAGAAGAATATACACATCACAAAGTGGTATCTCAGAAAGCTTCTTTCAAGTTTTCATATGAAGTTATTTCATTTTTCACCTTAGGCCTCAGTGTGCTGAAAAATAACCCTTAGCAGATTTTACCAAAACAGTGTTTCCAAACTGCAGAATCAAAAGAAATTTTAACTCTGTGAGATGAATGCACACATCACGAAGCAGTTTCTCTGAAAGCTTCCTTCCCGTTTTTTACTGGAGATATTTCCTTTTTCATCACAGGCTTCAATGCGCTCCCGAGTATCCCTTCACAGATTCTGTAAAAACAATGTTTCCAAACTGTTCCATCAAAATAAGGATTTACCTCTGTGGGATGAATGCACACATCAGAAAGCAGTTTCTCATAATGGTTCTTTCCATTTTTTATCTGCAACTGTTTCCTTGTTTGCCACAGGACATTTTATGCTACTAAACATAGCTTTGCAGATTATTTAAAAAAGAGTGTTTCCAAACTGCTCACTCAAAAGAACAGTTTAAGTCTGTAAGATGAGTGCATACAACTCAAAGCAGTTTCTCAAAAAGCTTTTTTCTAGTTTTTATCTACAGATATTTCCTTTTTCACCATAGGCATCAGTGCACTCCCAAATATCCCTTTGCAGATTCTACAAAGCCAGCGTTTCCAAACTTTTCAATCAAAAGAAACGTTTAACTCTGTGAGAAGAATGCACACAACACAAAGCAGTTTCTTAGGAAGGTGTCTTCTAGTTTTAATCTGAGGTTATTTCCTTTTTCATCTTAGGCCTGGTACACTCCCATATATTGCTTTGCAGATTCTACAAAAGCAGTGTTTCCAAACTGCTGAATCAAAACAAGAATTTAACTCTGTGAGATGAATGCACACATCACAAAGCAGTTTCTCAGATAGCTTCTGTCTAGTTCTTTTCTGAAGATATTTCCTTTTTCAACAAAGACTTCAATGTGCTCCTAAATATCCCTTGGAAGATTCGAAAAAACAGTGTTTCCAAACTGCTCATTCAAAAGAAAGTTTTAACTCTGTGACATGATTGCACACATCACAAAGCAGTTCCTCAGAAAGATTCTATCTACTTCTTCTCTGAAGATATTTCCTTTTCCAACATAGGCCTCAATGAACTCCCAAATATCACTTTGCAGTTCCTACAAAAGCTGTGTTTCCAAACAGTTCCCTTAAAAGAAGCATTTGTCTCTATGAGAAGAATGCACATATCAAAAAGCAGTTTCTCATAATGCTTCTTTCCGGTTTTTATGTGAAAGTATTTCCTTGTTCACCATAGGACTTTTTGCTACCTAAAATCGTTTTGCAGATTATACAAACACAGGACTTTCAAACTGCTCAGTCAAAAGAGAAGTTTATCTCTGTGAGAAGAATGCATCCATGATAGAGCAGTTTCTCAAAGAGCTTCTTTCTAGTTGTTGTCCAAGGATATTTCCTTTTTCACCAAAGGCATCAGTGCACTCCCAAATATCGCTTTGCAGATTCTACAAAAACAGTGTTTCCAAACTCCTCAATCAAAAGACACGCTTACCTCTGTGAGAAGAATGCAGACTTCACTAACTAGTTTCTCAGAAAACTTCTTTCTAGTTTTTATCTTGTCATTTCCTTTTTCACTATAGGCCTCTTGTGCTCCCAAACATCCTTTTGCAGATTCTACCAAGCCAGTTTTTCCAAACAGCTCAATCAAAAGTAACCTTTAAATCTGAGAGAAGAATGCTCACTTCACAAATCATTTTCTCAGAAATATTCTCTTGTTTTTATCTGAAGTTATTTCTATTTAAACCATTGGCCTCGTGTGTTCCAAATATCCATTCACAGATTCTACAAAAACAGTGTTTCCAAGCTGATCAATCAAAAGAAAGTTTTAACTCTTTGAGATGAAACACACGTCACAAAGCAGTTTCTCTAATGCTTCTTTCCAGTTTCTTCTGAAGACATTTTTTTTTCACCAAAGGCTTCAGTGCACTCCCAAATATCCCTTCATAGATTCTACAAAAACAGTGTTTCCAAACTCCTCAGTGAAACGAATGGTATAACTCTTCCAGATGAACACACACATCACAAAGAATTTTCTCAGAAAATTTCTGTCTAGTACTTATCTGAGGACATTTCCTTTTCCACCATAGAACTCAATGTGCTCTCAAATATCATTTTGCAGATTGTACGAAAACAGTGTTTCCAAACTCTTCCATCAAAAGAATGACAACTCTGTGAGATGAATGCACACATCAGAAAGCAGATTCTCATAATGCTTCTTTCTAATTTTTATCTGAAGTTATTTCCTTGTTTACCATAGGATTTTTTGCACTACCTAATATCATTTCATAGGTTTTGCAAAAACGGTGTTTCCAAACTGCTCAGTCAAAAGAGAGGTTTAACTCTATGAGATGAAGGCACAGACCCCAAAGCAGTTTCTCAAAAAGGTTTCAAGTTTTTATCCAAAGATATATTCTTTATCACAAAAGGCTTCAATGTGCTCCAAAATATATGGTCGCAGCTTCTACAAAAACAGTGTTTCCAAACTGCTCAATCAAAAACAAGTTTAACTCTGTAAGTTAAATGCACACATCACAAAATAGTTTCTCAAAAAGCTTTTTGTAGATTTTATCTGAAAATATTTCCTTTTTCACAACAGGCCTCAGTGTGCTCCCAAATATCCCTTTGCATATTCCACAAAAACAGTGTTTCCAAACAGTTCAATTGAAAGAAATGTTTAACTCTGTGTGACAGCACACATCACAAGTCAGTTTCATGGAAAGATTCATTCAAGATTTTTTCTGAAGTTATTTCCTTTTCCACCATAGTTGTGGGCTCTGAAATATCCCTTCACAGATTGTACAACAACAGTGTTTTCAAACTGTTCCTTTAAAAGAAGTACTGAACTGGGACATGGAAACACACATCAGAAATCAGTTTCTCATAACGCTTCTTCCCAGTTTTTATCTGAGGATATTTTCTTTTTCACCATAGGCTTTTATGCATAACCTAATATTACTTGGCAGGTTTTGCAAAAACAGTGTCTCCAAACTGCTCAATCAAAAGAAAGTTTTAATTCTGTGAGATGAATGTACACATCAGAAAGCAGTTTCTCAAAAAGCTTCTTTCTAGTTTTTATCCAAAGATATTTCCTTTTTCAACATAGGCTTCAATGTCCTCCCAAAGATACCTTTGCAGATTCTACAAAAACAGTGTTTCCAAACTGCTGAATCAAAAGAAAGATTTGACTCTGTGAGAAGAATGCACACATCACAAAGCAGTTTCTCAGAAAGCTTCTGTCTAGTTTTTTTCTGAAGACATTTATTTTTCCACCTTGGGCCTCACTGCACTCCTAAATATCCCTTCGCAGATTCTACAAAAACAGAGTTTCCAAACAGCTCCATCAACAAACAGGTTTAACTCTGTGAGTTGAATGCACACACCACATAGCAGTTTTTCAAAAATGTTTTTTTCTATTTTTTATCTGAAGATATTTCCTTTTTGTACCATAGGCCACAGTGCAATCCCAAATATACCTTGCAGATTCTACAAAAACAGTGTTTCCAAGCTGCTCAATCAATAGAGGGTTTTACCTCTGTGAGGTGAATGCACACATCACAAAGCAGCTTCTCAGATAAATGTTGTCTAGTTCTTCTCTGAAGATATTTCCTTTTCCACCATAGGCTCCAAAGCACTCCCAAATATCCCTTTGCAGATTTTATGAAAACAGTGTTTCTGAACTGTTCCATCAAAAGAAGGATTTAAATCTTTGAGGTGAAGGCACACATCACAAAGCAGTTTCTCAGAATGCCTCTTTCCAGTTTTTATCTGAAGAAATTTCCTCATTCACCATAGGCCTTTTTGCACTATCTAATCTCACTTCGCAGATCATACAAAAACAGTGTTTCCAAACTGCTCAGTCAAAAGAAAAGCTTAACTCTGTTAGATGAATGAACACATCCAATGCAGTTTCTCAGAAAGCTTTGTGTATTTCTTCTCTGAAGATATTTCCTTTTCCACCATAGGCCTCAATGCTCTCCCAAATATCCCTTCACAGATTCCATATAAACAGTGTTTCCAAACTGCTCCTTCAACAGAAGGACTTAACTCTGTGTGAAGAACACACACATCAGAGAGCAGTTTCTCATAACTCTTCTTTCCAGTATTTATTCGAAGATATTTCCTCATTCACCGTAGGCTTTTTTGTGCTGCCAAATATTGCTTTGCAAATTATGCAAAAACAGTGTTTCCAAACTGTTCAATCAAAAGAAAGGATTAACTCTGTAACATGAATACACACATCACAAAGCAGGTTCTCAAAAAGCTTCTTTCTAGTTTTTATCTGAAGATATTTCCTTTTTGACCATAGGCTTCAATGCACTCCCAAATATCCTTTCACATATTCTAAAAAAAGAGTGTTTCCAAAAGGCTCATGAAAAGAAATTTGAACTCTGAGAGATGAATGCAGACATGAAAAGGCAGTTTCTCAGAAAGCTTCTGTCTATTTCTTCTCCGACAATATTTCTTTTTCCACCATAGGCCTCAATTTGCTACCAAACATCACTTCGCAGATTCTACAAAAACAGTGTTTCCAAAGTGTTCCATCAAAAGAAGGACTTAACCCTGTGAGATGAATGCACACAGCAGACACCAGTTTCTAATAATGCTTTTTTCCAGTTTTTAACTGAAGATGTTTCTTTTCTCATCCGAGATTTTTGATCTACTAAAAATCACTTCACACGTTACCCAGAAAGACTGTTCCCAAACTGCTCACTCAAATGAATGGCTTAAATCTGTGAGATGAATGCACACGTCAAAAAGCAGTTTCTCAAAAAGCTTCTTTCTTGTTTTTATCCAAAGATATTTCCTTTTTCACCATAGGCCTAACTGCGTTTCCAAATATCCCATTGCAGATTCCACAAAAACAGTGTTTCCAAAGTGCTCAATCAAAAGCAAGGTTTAACACTGTGAGATGAATGCACACATCACCGAGCAGTTTCTCAAAAAGCTTCTATCTAGTTTTTATCCAAAGATATTTCCTTTGTTACCATAGGCTTCAATATGCTCCCAAATATCCAGTCACAGAGTTACAAAAACAGCATTGCCATACTGCTCTATCAAAATACAGGTTTATCACTGTGAGTTCAACCCAATATCACAAATAATTTTCTCACAAATCTTGTTTCTAATTTTTATCCGAATATATTTCCTTTTTCATCACAGTCCTTAATGTGCTCCCAAACATCCCTTCACAGATTCTACAAAAAAAAGTGTTTCCAAACTGTTCCTTCAAAAGAAGGACTTAACTCTGTGAGATGAACGCAGACATCAGAAAGCAGTTTCCTTCTCCTAACGCTTCTTTCCAGTTTTTATCTGAAGATATTTCCTTGTTCACCATAGGACTTTTTGCACTCCAAAACATTGCTTCACAGACTATAGAAAAATGGTGTTACCAAACTGCTCAGTCAATACAAAAGTTTAACACTGCGAGATGAATGCATACATCTCAAAGCAGTTTCTCAGAAAGCTTCTTCCTAGTTTTTATCTGAAGTTATTTCCTTTTTCACCATAGGCCTCATGTACTCCCAAATATCCCTTCGCAGTTTCTACAAAAGCAGTGTTTCCAAACTGAACAATTAAAAGAAAGATTTAACTCTGTGAGATGAATGCACACATCACAAACCAGTTTCTCAGAAAGTTTCCTTCTAGTTTTTATCTGGACATATTTCCTTTTTCACTGTAGGCTTGAATGCGCTATAAAATAACATGTTGCAGATTCTGCCAAAAGGGTGTTTCCAAATGGCTCCATGAAAGGAAAGATTATCACTGTGAAATGAATGCACATATCACAAATCAGTGTCCCAGTAAGCTTCCTTCCACTTTTTATTGAATGATATTTTCTTTTTCACCATAGGCTTCTTTGTGCTACCTAATATCACATCACAGTTTATACAAAAACAGTGATTCCAAACTGCTCTATCAAAAGAAAAGTTTAACTCTGTGAGATGAATGCACACATCACCAGGCAGTTTCTCAAAAAGCTTATTTCTAGTTTTTATCTGAAGATATTCCTTTTTCACCATTGGCCTTAGTGCACTCCAAAATATCCCTTTGCAGATTCTACAGAAGCTGTGTTTCCAAAATGCTCAATCAAAAGAAAGTTTTAACTCTGTGAGATGAATGCACACATCACAAAGCATTTTCTCACAAAGTTTCAGTCTTGTTCTTATCAGAAAATATTTTATTTTCCACCAAAGGCCTTGAGCTCTCTTAAATATCCCTTCGCAGGTTCTACAAAAATATTTTTTCCACACTGTTCCATGAAAAGAAGGACTTAACTCTGTTAGATGAATTCATGCATTGGAAAGCAGGTTCTCATAATGCTTCTTACCAGTTTATCTCTGAAGATATTTCATTTTTCATGATAGGGTTCTTTGCACCACCTAATGTTGTTTCACAGATTTTGCAAAAGCAGTGTTTCCGAAGTGCTCCATCAAAGGAAATGTTTAACACTGTGAGACAAATACACACATCACAAAGCAGTTTCTCAGAAAGCTTCCTTCCATTTTTTATCCGAAGACATTTCCTTTTCCACAATCGGCACAAGTGCACTCCCAAATATATCTTCACAGATTCTATGAAAAGAGTGTTTTCAAACTGCTCAATCAAAAGAAACTTTTATCTCTGTGAGAAGGATGAACACATCACAAAGTGGTTTCTCAGTAAGTTTCTTTCTCGTTTTTATCTGAAGTTATTTCCTTTTTCACCATAGGTTTTGTGTGGTCCCAAATATCCCTTCACAGATTCTACAAAAACAGTGTTTCCAAACTGATCAATCAAAAGTAAGGTGTAACTCTGTGAGATGAATGCACACATGACAAAGCAATTTCTCAAAAAGTTTCCTTCTTGTTTTTATCCAAAGATATTTCCCTTTTCACCATAGGCTTCAATGAGCTCCCAGATATCCCTTTGCAGATTCTACAAAAACAGTGTCCCAAACTGATCAATCAGAAGAAAGGTTTAACTCTTACCTGAATGCACACATCACAATGCATTTTCAAAGAAAGCTTCTTTCTAGCTCTTCACTGAAGATATTTCCTTTTCTACCATAGACCTCAATTCACCCCCAAATATCCCTTCACAGATTCTACAGAACAGTGTTTCCAAACTGTTCCACCAAAGAAGGACTTAACTCTGTGAGATGAATGCACACTTCAGAAAACAGTTTCTGATAACACTTCTTTCCAGTTTTTTTTTTTTTTTTTTTTTTTTTTGAGACGGAGTCTCGCTCTGTCGCCCAGGCTGGAGTGCAGTGGCGCGATCTCGGCTCACTGCAAGCTCCGCCTCCCGGGTTCACGCCATTCTCCTGCCTCAGCCTCCCGAGTAGCTGGGACTACAGGCGCCCGCTACCACGCCCGGCTAATTTTTTGTATTTTTAGTAGAGACGGGGTTTCACTGTGTTACCCAGGATGGTCTCGATCTCCTGACCTCGTGATCCGCCCGCCTCGGCCTCCCAAAGTGCTGGGATTACAGGCGTGAGCCACCGCGCCCGGCCTTCTTTCCAGTTTTTAGGTGAAGATATTTCCCTGTTCACCTTAGGCCTTTTTGAGCTACCTATAATCACTTCACTGATTATACAAAAACAGTGTTTCCAAAATGCTCAGTCAAAAAAAAGTTAACTCTGTGAAATGAATTCATACATCATGAAGAAGTTGCTCAAAGAGTTTCTTTCTACTTTTTATCTGAAGATATGTCCTTTTTCACCATATTTATCAACGTACTCCAAAATATCCCTTTGCAGATTCTACAAAAACAGTGTTTTTGAACTGCTCAATCAAAACAAACTTTTAATTCTGTGAGAAGAATGTACACATCAAAAAAGCAATTTGTCATAATGCTGATTTCTAGTTTTCATCTGAAGATATTTCCTTTTTCACCATTGGCCTAACTGTGCTTTCAAGTATCCCATTGCAGATTCTATAAAAACAGTGTTTCCAAACACCTCAATCTATATAAAGGTTTAAATCTATGAAAAGAATGCACACATCACAAAGTGGTTACTCAGAAAGATTCTCTGTAGTTTCTGTCTGAAATTTTTTTCCTTTATCACCATAGGCCCCAGTGCACTCCTAAATATCCACTTGCAGATCTACCAAAGAGTTTTTCCAAACTGCTCAGTCAAAAGAAAGTTTTAACCCTGTGAGATGAATGCACACATCACAAAGTAGTTTCTCAGAAAGCTTCTTTCTAGTTTTTATCTGAAGATATTACCTTTTCATGGTAGGCCTCACTCAGATCCCAAGTACCCATTCACAGATTCTGCCAAAGAGGTGTTTCCTAATGGCTCCAGCAAATGAAATATCTAACACTGTGAAATGTATGCAAACCTCACAAATCAGTGTCTCAGAAAGATTCTTTCCAGTTTTTATCTGAACATATTTCCTTTTCCACTATAGGCCTCTTTGTGGTATCTAATATCACTTTGCAGATTATACAAAAACAGTGTTTCCAAACTGCTCTATCAAAAGAAAAGGTTTATCTCTGTGAGATGAATGCACACATCAGAAAGCAGTTTCTCTAAAAGCTTCTTTCTAATTTTTATCTGAAGATATTTCCTTTTTCACCAAAGCCTTCTATGTGATCCCAAATATCCCTTCCATATCCTACAAAAAAACTGTTTCCAAACTGCTCAATCAAAAAACAGGTTTAACTCTGTGAGTTGAACGCACACGTGTCAAAGAAGTTTCTCAAAAAGTTCTTTCTAGTTTTTATTTGAAGATAATTCCTTTTTTACCTTAGGCTTCAAAGCGCTCCCAAGTATCCCATTGCAGACCCTACAAAACTGGTGTTTCTAAACTGCTCAATCAAAAGAAAGGTTTAATTCTGTCAGATAATTGCATACATCACAATGCAGTTTCTCAGAAAGCTTCTTTCTAGTTCTTCAATGAAGCTATTTACTTTTCCAGCTTAGGCATCAATGCACTCCCAAATATACCTTCGCAGACTTAACAAAAACAGTGTTTCCAAACTGTTCCTTCAGAATAAGGACTTAAATCTGTTCGACAAACACACACATCAGAAAGCAGTTTCTCATAATGCTTCTTTCTAGCTTTTATATCAAGATACTTCCTCTTTCACCATAGGCTTTTTTGAGCTACCTAATATCTCTTGCAGATTTTACAAAAACAGTGTTTCCAAACTGCTCTGTCAAAAGAAAGTTTTAACTCTGTGAGATGAATGGACTCACCACAAAGCAATTTCTCAATAACTTCTTTCTAGTTTTTATTCAAATATATTCATTTATTCACCATAGGCCTAACTGTGCTTTCAAATATCCCTTTACAGATTCTACAAAAATAGTGTTTCCAAACTGCTCAATCAAAAGAAATTTTAAATCTGTGAGAAGAATGCACACATCACAAAGCAGTTTTTGTAAATTTTCTTCATAGTTTTTATCCGAAGTTATTTCCTTTTTCACCATGGGCCACAGTGCATGCACAAATATCTCTTCGCAGATTCTACTAAAACATTGTTTCCAAAATACTCAATCAAAAGAAAGGTTTCAGTCTGTCAGAAGAAAGCACACATAAGAAAGCAGTTTCTCAGAAACCTTCTTTCTGGTTTTTATCTGAAGATATTTCCTTTTTCATCATAGGCCTCAATGTGCTCCCAAATAACACTTTGCAGATTCTGCCAAAAGGGAGTTTCCAAAGGGCTCCATCAAAGGAAAGATTTAACACTTTGAAATGAATGCACTCGTCACAAATCTGTTTCTCAGAAAGCTTCTTTCCAGTTTTTATCTGAAGATATTTCCTTTTCACCATAGGCTTCAATGCACTACCAAACAGCCCTTAGCAGATCTAAAGAACTGTTTCCAAACTGTTCCATCCAAAGAAGGACTTAACTCTGTGAGATGAATGCACACATCAGAAAGTAGTTTCTCATAACTCTTCTTACCAGTTTTATCTGAAGATATTTCCTTTTTCACCATAGGCTTTTTTGCACTACATAATATTGTTTCACACATTTTGCAAAAACAATGTTTCCCAACTGCTCAGTCAAAAGAAAAGTTTAACTCTGTGAGATGAATGCACACATCACAAAGCAGTTTCTCAACATGCTTCTTTCTAGTTTTTATCTGAAGATATTTCCTTTATCACCATAGGCTTTAATGCACTCCCAAATATCCCACTGCAGATTCTACAAAAACACTGTTTCAAACTGCTCAATCAAAAAACAGGTTAAACCCTGTGAGTAGAACACACACTTCACAAGGCACTTTGTCAAAGAACTTCTTTCTAGTTTTTGTTCGAAGATATTTCTTTTTTCAGAATACGCCTCAGTGCATGCCAAAATAGACCTTTGCAGATACTACAAACACAGTGTTTCCAAACTGCCCAATAAAAGAAAGTTTTCACTGTGTGAGATGAATGTACACATAACTTCACCGTTTCTCAGATAGTTTCTGTCTAGTTCTTTTCTGAAGATATTTCCTTTTCCACCACTGCCCTTAATGCGCTCCCAAATATCCCTTCACAGATTCTATAAAAACAGTGTCTCTGAACTGTTCCATTAAAGAAGTATTAAACTATATGAGATGAACCCAGACATCAGAAAGCAGTTTCTCTTAATGCTTCTTTCCAATTTTTATCTGAAGATATTCCTTGTTCACCATAGGCCTTTTTGCACTACCAAACATCACTTTGCAGCTTATGCAAAAACAGTGTTTCCAAACTGATCAGTCAAAAGAAAATATTAACTCTGTGAGATGAATGCATACATCACAAAGCAGTTTCTCAAAAAGCTTCTTTCTAGTTTTTATCTGAAGATATTTCCATTTTCATCATAGGATTCTATGTGTTCCCAAAAATCCTTTTCCAGATTCTACAAAACAGTGTTTCCAAACTGCTCAATCAAAAGAAAGGTTTAACCCTGTGAGATGAATGCACAAATCACAAAGATCTTTCTCAGATAGCTTCTGCCTAGTTTTTACCCAAAGATATTTCCTTTATCACAATAGACTTCAAAGCACTCCCAAATATCTTGTTGCATATCCTTCACAGTATTTCCAAACTGCTCAATCAAAAAACAGATTTATCTCTGTGAGTTGAACATGCACAACACAAAGCAGTTTCTCAAAAAGCTTCTTTGTAATTTTATGTGAAAGATTTCCTTTTTCATCATAGGCCTCAGGGTGCACCCCAATATACCTTTGCAGATTCTAGAAAAACAGTGTTTCCAAACTGCTGAACCAAAAGAAAAGCTTAACTATGTGAGATGAATGTACACATCACAAATCAGTTTCTCAGATAGCTTCTGTCTAGTTCTTTTCTGAAGGTATTTCCTTTTCCACCACAGGCCTCTATGTGCACCAAATTATCTCTTCCCAGATCCTATGAAAACAGTGTTTGAGAAGTGGCCCATCAAAAGGAGGATTTAACTCTGTGGGATGAATGCACACATCAGAAAGCAGTTTCTCATAATGTTTAATTCCAGTTTTTATCTGAAGATATTTTCTTGTTCACCATAATTCTTTTTACGCTACCTAACATTGCTTCACAGATTATATAAAAACAGTGTTTCCAAACTGCTCAGTCAAAAGAAAAGTTTAACTCTGTGACATAAATGCATACATCACAAAGCAGTTTCTCAAAAAGCTTCTTACTCGTTTTTATCTGAAGACATTTCCTTTTTCACAATATGCATCAGTGCACTACCAAATATCACTCGGCAGATTCTACAAAAACGGTGTTTCCAAACTGCTAAAACAAAAGAAAAGTTTAACTCTGTGAGAGGAATGCACATATCACAAAATGGTTTCTCAGAAAGATTATTTCTAGTTTTTATCTGAAGTTATTTCCTTTTTCACCATAGGTCTCATGCACTCCCAAATATCCCTTTGCAGATTCTACAAAAACAGTGTTTGCAAACTGATCTATCAAAAGAAAGTTTTAACTCTGTGAAGTGAATGCACACATCACAAAGCACTTTCTCAAAAAGCTTCTTTCTACCTTTTATCAGAAGATATTTCCATTTTCACCATAGGCTTCATTGTGTTCTCAAATATGCCTACGTAGATTCTACAAAAAAGTGCTAACAGACTGATGATTAATCAAAAGGTTTAACTTTGTGAGATGAATGTGCACATCACAAAGCAGTTTCTCAGATAGATTCTGCCTAGTTCTTCTCTGAAGATATTTCTTTTCCAGCATAGGCCTCAATGCACTCCAAAATATCCCCTAACTGATTCTATAAAAAATGTGTTTCCAAACTGTTTCATCACAAGAAGGACTGAACTCTTTGAGGTGAATGCACACATCAAAAGCTGTTTCTCATAATGCTTCTTTCCAGTTTTTATCTGAAGATATTTCCTTATTCCCCATAGGCTTTTTATGCTACCTAATATGGCTAGACAGATTTTGCAAAAACAGTGTTTCCAAACTGCTCTTTCTAAAGAGAGGTTTAACTCTGTGAGATGAATGCACACATCACAAAGCAGTTTCTAGATACCTTCTTTCTAGTTTTTTTCCAAAGATAATTTCTTTATCACCACAGGCTTCAATGCACTCCAAAAAATCCCATTGTAGATTCTACAGAAACAGTAGTTCCAAATTGCTCAATAAATAAACAGATTTAACTCTGTGAGTTCAATGCCCACAGAGCAAAGTAGTTTCTCAAAAGTTTCTTTCGAGTTTTCATCCAAAGATATTTCCTTTATCACCGCAGACTTCAGTTCACTCCCAAATATCTAGTTGAAGATTCTACACAGACACTGTTTCCAAACTTCTCAATCAAACAACAGGCTTAACTCTGTGAGTTGAATGCTCACATCACAAAGCAGTTTCTCAGAAAGCTTTTTTGTAGTTTTTATGTGGTGATATTTCCTTTTTCACCACAGACCTCAGGGTGCTCACAAACATACCTTTGCAGATTCGGCCAAAAAAGTGTTTCCAAACTGCTCTATCAAGAGAAAGTTTTAACTCTGTGAGTTGAAGGCACATATCAAAAAGCAGTTTCTCAGATAGCTTCTGTCTAGTTCTTCTCTGGGGATATTTCTTTTTCCACCATAGGCCTCTATGTGCTCCCAAATATCCCTTCCCAGATCCTATAAAAACAGTGTTTCTTAACTGTTCCATCAAAAGAAGGATTTAACTATTTGAGATGAATGCACACATCAGAAAACAGTTTCCCATAATACTTAATTCCAGTTATTATCTGAAGATATTTTCTTGTTCACCACAGGCCTTTTTACACTACTTAACATCACTTCACAGATTACATAAGACCTTTGTTTCCAAAGTGCTCATTCAAAAGAAAAGTTTAAATCTGTGACATGAATGCATACATCACAAAGCAGTTTCTCAGAAAGCTTCTTGATCATTCTCATCTGAAGGTATTTTCTTTTTAACCCTAGGCATCAGGGTCCTCACAAATATCTCTATTCAGATTTACAAAAACAGGGTTTTCAAACTGCTCAATCAAAATAAACGTTTAACTCTGTGAGAAGAATGCACATATCACAAAGCAGTTTCTCAGAATATTTCTTTCTAGTTTTTATCTGAAGTTATTTCCTTTTTCAACATAGGTCTCATGTGCTCCCAAATATCCCTTCACAGATTCTACAAAAACAGTGTTTCCAAGCTGATCAATCAAAAAAGAAGGTTAAAGCTGTGAGATGAATGTACATATCAAAAGCATTTTCTCAAAAAGCTTGTTTCTTCTTTTAATCCAAAGATATTTCCTTTGTGACCACAGGCTTCAATGCACTCCCAAATATCCCTTCGCAAAATCTGCAAAAACAGTGTTTCCAAACTGATCAATCAAAAGAAAGGTTGAACTCTGTGAGATGAATTCGCATATCACAAAGCAGTTTCTCAGAAAGCTTCTGTCTAGTTTTCTCTGAAGATATTTCCTTTTCCAACCTAGGCCTCAATGTGCTCCCAAATATCCCTTCTCAGATTCTATAAAAACGGGGCTTCCAAACTTTCCAATCAAAAGAAGGATTTAGCTCTGTGAGATGAATCTACACATCAGAAACCGTTTGTCATAATGTTTAATTCTAGTTTATACCTGAAGATATTTCCTTGTTCACCATGTGCATTTTTGCTCTACCAAATATCACTTCACATATTTTGCAAAATCATTGTTTCCAATCTGATCATTCAGAAGGAAAGTTTAACTCTGTGAGATGAATGGATACATCACAAAGCAGTTTCTCAAAAAGCTTTTTTCTAGTTTTTATCCAAAGATATTTCTTTTCACTATTGGCAACCGTGCATTCCCAAATATCCCTTTGCAGATTCTACAAAGACAGTGTTTTCAAACATCTCAATGAAAAGAATTGTTTAACACTGTGATAAGAATGCCCACATCACAAAGCAGTTTCTCAAAATGCTTCTGTCTAGTTCTTCTCTGAGCGGGCTGAACTGGTTCCCTTTTCCACCATAGGCCTCAATGTGCTCCCAAATATCCCTTTGCAGATTTGCAAAAAACAGTGTTTCCAAGCTATTCCAATAAAAGAAGGACTTACCTCTGTGAGATGAACACACACATCAGAAAGCAGTTTTTCATAACCCTACTTTCCAGTTTTTTTTTTTTTTTTTTTGAGACGGAGTCTCGCTCTGTCGCCCAGGCTGGAGTGCAGTGGCGGGATCTCGGCTCACTGCAAGCTCCGCCTCCCGGGTTCACGCCATTCTCCTGCCTCAGCCTCCCAAGTAGCTGGGACTACAGGCGCCCGCCACTACGCCCGGCTAATTTTTTGTATTTTTAGTAGAGACGGGGTTTCACCGTTTTAGCCGGGATGGTTTCGATCTCCTGACCTCGTGATCCGCCCGCCTCGGCCTCCCAAAGTGCTGGGATTACAGGCGTGAGCCACCGCACCCGGCCTCCAGTTTTTATCTGCAGATGTTTCCTTTTTCACCCTAGCATTTTTGAGCTACCTAATATTGCTTTGGAGATTTTGCAAACACGGTGTTTCTAAACTACTTAGTCAAAAGAAACTTAACACTGTGAGATGAATGTATGTTTCACAAAGCAGTTACTCAAAAAGCTTCTTTCTAGTTTTTATCCAAAGATATTTCCTTTATCAGCATAAGCTTCAATGCGCTCTTAAATATGCCATAGCAGATTCTACAAAAGCACTGTTTCCAAACTGCTCAATCTAAAAAAAGGTTTAAAATTGTGAGTTGAATGCAACATCACAAAGAAGTTTCTCAAATAGCTTCTTTCTAGTTTTTATCCAAAGATAATTCCTTTTTCACCATAGGTCTCATGCACTGCCAAATATCCATTTGCAGATTCTACAAATACAGTGTTTCCAAACTGCTCAATCAAAATAAAGGTTTAACTCTGTGAGACGAATGCACACATCAAAAATCAGTTTCTCAAAAAGCTTATTTGTAGTTTTTTTCGAAGATTTTTCCTTTATCAACATAGGCTTCCATGCACTCCCAAATATGCCTTTGCAGATTCTATAAATACAATTTTTCCAAACTGCTCAATCGGAAGTTTTAGCTCTGTGAGGTTAATGCTGACATCACAAAGCAGTTTCTCAGAAAGCTTCTGTCCTGTTCTTCTCTGAAGTTATTTCCTATTCCACCATAGGCCTTAATACACTACAAAATATCCCTTTGCAGATTCTATAAAAAGAGTGTTTCCAAACTTTTCCATCAGAAGAAGGACTTAACTCGGTTAGATGAATACACCCATCAGAAAGCAGTTTCTCATAAAGCTTCCTTGCAGTTTTTATCTGAAGATATTTCCTTCTTCACCATAGGCCTTTTTGCACTACCAAACATTGTTAAGCATATTATACATAAAAAGTGTTCCCAAATTGCTCAATCAAAAGAAAGGTTTAGCTCTGTGAGATAAATGCACACTTCATAAAACAGTTTCTCAAAAAGCTTCTTTCAAGTTTTTATCTGAAATAATTTCCTTTTTCACCATAGGCTTAAATGCACTCCAAAACATCCCTTCACAGATTCTACAAAAACAGAGTGTCCAAACTGCTCAATCAAAAGAAATATTTAACTCTGTGAGATGAATACTCACATCACAAAACTGTTTCTCATAAAGCTTCAGTCTAGTTAATCTCCATAGATATTTCCTTTCCACCACAGGCCTCAATGCGCACTGAAATATTCCTTCACAGATTCTACAAAAACAGTATTTCAAAACAGCCCAATCAAAAAACCAGTTTAATTCTGTGAGTTTAATGGATGCATCACAAAGCATTTTATCAAAAAGCATCCTTCTAATTTTAATCCGAAGATATTTCCTTTTTCACCACAGGTCTCAGTGAGCTTTCAATTATGCCTTTGTAGATTCTACAAGAACATTGTTTCCAAACTGCTCAATCAAAAGAAAGTTTTACTCTGTGAGATGAATGCACACCTCACAAAGCAGTTCCTCTGAAAGATTCCTTCTAGTTCATATCTGGAGATAATTCATTTTTCAACACAGGCTTCCATGTGCCCAAATATCCTTTTGCAGATTGTATACAAACAGTGTTTCTAAACTATTCCATCAAAAGAAGGATTTAAATCTGTGAGAAGAAAGAATATATCAGAAAGCAGTTTCTCATAATGCTTCTTTCCAGTTTTTTCTGAAGATATTTCCTTGTTCAGAGGAACTCAAAGATGGCTGAATAGGAATAGCTCCAGTCTACAGCTCCCAGCCTGTGTGACACAGAAGATGGGTGATTTCTGCATTTCCAAATGAGGTACTGTGCTCATCTCACTGGGGAGTGCTGGACAGTGGGTGCAGGACAGTGGGTGCATCCCACTGTGTGAGAGCCAAAGCAGGGTGAGGCATCACCTCCTCTGGAAAGGGCAAGGGGTCAGGGAATTCCCTTTTATAGTCAAAGAAAGGGGTGACAGATGGCACCTGGAAAATCGGGTGACTCCCACCCTAATACTGTGCTTTTCCAGTGGCCTTAACCAATGGCACACCAGGAGATTATATCCTGCACATGGCTCAGAGGGTCCTATGCCCAAGGAGTGTCACTCATTGCTAGCAAATCAGTCTGAGATCAAAGAGCAAGGTGGCAGTGAGGCTGGAGAAGGGGTGCCCACCTTTGCCAAGGCTTGAGTAGGTAAACAAAGCAGCTGGGAAGCTTGAACTGGGTGGAGACTGCCACAGCTCTAGGAGGTCTGCCTGCCTCAGTAGGCTCCAACTCTGGGGACAGCATAGAGACAAACAAAAGGCAGCAGTAACCTCTGCAGACTTAAATGTCCCTGTCTGACAGCTTTGAAGAGAGTAGTGGTTTTCCCAGCATGCAGCTGGAGATCCGAGAATGGGCAGACTGCCTCTTCAAAGGGGGCCCTGACCACTGAGTAGCCTAACTGGGAGGCACCCCCTGGTAGTAGCAGGCTGACACTTCACAAGGCCCAGTACTCCCCTGAGACAAAACTTCCAGAGGAAAGATCAGGCAACAGCATTTACAGTTGACCAATATACGTGGTTCTGCAACCACCACTTCTGATACCCAGGCATACAAAGTCTGGAGTGGACCTCCAGCCAACTCCAACAGACTTGCAGCTGAGGGTCCTGACTGTTAGAAAGAAAACTAACAAACAGAAAGGAAATCCACAACAAAAACCCATCTGTACATCACCATCACCAAAGGTAGACAAAAACCACAAAGATGGGGAAAAAGCAGAGAAGAAAAACTGGAAACTCTAAAAAACAGAGCACTTCTCCCCCTCCAAAGGAATGCAGCTCCTCACCAGCAATGGAACAAAGCTGGATGGAGTATGACTTTTACGAGTTGAGAAGAAGGCTTCAGAAGATTAAACTGCTCTGACCTATGGGAGGAAGTTTGAACCAATGGCAAAGAAGTTAAAAACCTTGAAAAAAAATTAAATGAATGGCTAACTAGAATAACTAATGAAGAGAAGCCCTTAAAGGACTTGAAGGAGCTGAAAACCATGGCACAAGAACTACAAGACAAAGGCACGAGCCTCAGTAACCGATGCGATCAAATGGAAGAAAGGTTATCAGTGATGGAAGATGGAATGAATAAAATGAAGCGAGAAGAGAAGTTCAGAGAAAAAAACAATAAAAAAAAACGAACAAAGCCTCCAAGAAATATGGGACTATGTGAAAAGACCAAATCTACGTCTGATTGGTGTACCTGAAAGTGACGGGGAGAATGGAACCAAGTTGGGAAAACACTCTGCAGGATATTATCCAGGAGAACGTCCCCAGTCTAGCAAGGCAGGCCAACATTCATATTCAGGAAATACAGAGAATGCCACAAAGATATTCCTCGAGAAGAGTAACTTCAAGACACATAATTGTCAGTTTCACCAAAGTTGAAATGAAGGAAAAAATGTTAAGGGCAGCCAGAGAAAGGTCGAGTTAACCACAAAGGGAAGCCCATCAGACTAACAGCTGATCTCTTGGCAGAAATTCTACCAGCCAGAGGAGAGTGGGAGCCAATATTCAACATTCTTAAAGAAAAGAATTTTCAACCCAGAATTTCATATCCAGCCAAACTAAGTTTCATAACTGAAGGAGATACAAAATACTTTACAGACAAGCAAATGCTGAGAGAATTTGTCACCACCAGGCCAGCACTGAAAGAGCTCCTGAAGGAAGCAATAAACATGGAAAGGAACAACAGCTACCAGCCACTGCAAAAACATGCCAAATTTTAAAGACCACCAAGGCTAGGAAGAAACTGAATCACCTAACGAACAAAATAACCAGCTAACATCATAATGACAGGATCAAACTCACA
Source organism: Homo sapiens (assembly GCF_000001405.40). Lineage (NCBI taxonomy): Eukaryota > Metazoa > Chordata > Mammalia > Primates > Hominidae > Homo > Homo sapiens. The sequence goes on from NC_000012.12 coordinate 37,894,523, forward strand.
CATAACAATATTAACTTTAAGTGTAAATGGGCTAAATGCACCAATTAAAAGACACAGACTGGAAAATTTGATAAACAGTCAAGACCCATCAGTGTGCTGTACTCAGGAAACTCACCTCACGTGCAGAGACACACATAGGCTCAAAATAAAGGGATGGAGGAAGATCTACCAAGCAAATGGAAAACAAAAAAAGGCAGGGGTTGCAATCCTAGTCTCTGATAAAACAGACTTTAAACCAACAAAGATCAAAAGAGACAAAGAAGGCCATTACATAATGGTAAAGGGATCAATTCAACAAGAAGAGCTAACTATCCTAAATATATATGCACCCAATACAGGAGCACCCAGATTCATAAAGCCAGTCCTTAGTGACCTATAAAGAGACTTAGACTCCCATATAATAATAATGGGAGATTTTAACACTCCACTGTCAGCATTAGACAGATCAATGGGACAGAAATTTAACAAGGATATCCAGGAATTGATCTCAGCTCTGCACCAACTGGACCTAATCAATATCTACAGAACTCTCCACCCCAAGTCAAAAGAATATACATTCTTTTCAGCATGACACCACACCTGTTCCAAAATTGACCACATACTTGGAAGTAAAGCTCTCCTCAACAAATGTAAAAGAACAGAAATTGTAACAAACTCTCTCTCAGACCACAGTGAAATCAAGCTAGAACTCAGGATTAAGAAACTCACTCAAAACAACTCAACTACATGGAAACTGAACAACCTGCTCCTGAAAGACTACTGGGTACATAACGAAATGAAGGCAGGAATAAAGATGTTCCTTGAAACTAATGAGAACAAAGACACAACATACCAGAATCTCTGGGACACATTCAAAGCAGTGTGTAGAGGGAAACTCATAACACTAAATGCCCACAAGAGAAATCAGGAAAGATCTACAATTGACACCCTAACATCACAATTAAAAGAATTAGAGAAGCAAGAGCAAACACATTCAAAAGCTAGCAGTAGGCAAGAAATAACTAAGATCAGAGCAGAACTGAAGGAAACAGAGACACAAAAAACCCTTCAAAAAATCAATGAATCCAGCAGCTGGTTTTTTGAAAAGATCAACAAAATTGATACACCTCTAGCAAGACTAATAAAGAGGAAAAGAGAGAAGAATCAAATAGATGCAATAAAAAATGATAAAGGTGATATCACCACTGATCCTATAGAAATACAAACTACCATCAGAGAATACCATAAACACCTCTATGCAAATAAACTAGGAAATCTACAAGAAATGGATAAATTCCTCAACACATACACCCTCCCAAGACTAAACCAGGAAGAAGTTCCATCTATGAATAGACCAATAACAGGCTCTGAAATTGAGGCAATAATTAATAGCTTACCAACCAAAAAAAGTCCAGGACCAGAAGGATTCACAGCCGATATCTACCAGAGGTACAAGGAGGAACTGGTCCCATTCCTTCTGAAACTATTCCAATCAATAGAAAAAGAGGGAATCCTCCGTAACTCATTTTATGAGGCCAGAATCATCCTGATACCAAAGCCAGGCAGAGACACAACCAAAAAAGAGAATTTTAGACAAGTATCCTTGATGAACATTGATGTATAAATCCTCAATAAAATACTGGCAAAACGAATCCAGCAGCACATCAAAAAGCTTATCCACCATGATCAAGTGGGCTTCATCCCTAGAATGCAAGGGTGTTTCACCATACGAAAATCAATAAACGTAATACAGCATGTAAACAAAACCAAAGACATAAAGCACACGATTATCGCAATAGATGCAGAAAACGCCTTTGACAAAATTCTACAACATTTCATGTGAAAAACTCTCAACAAATTAGGTATTGATGGGATGTATCTCAAAATAATAAGAGCTATCTATGAGAAATCCACAGCCAATATCATATTGAATGGGCAAAAACTTGGAAGCATTCCCTTTGAAAACTGGCACAAGACAGGGATGCCCTCTCTCACCACTCTTATTCAACATAGTGTTGGAAGTTCTTGCCAGGGCAATCAGGCAGGAGAAGGAAATAAAGGGTATTCAATTAGGAAAAGAGAAAGTCAAATTGTCCCTGTTTGCAGATGACATGATTGTATATCTAGAAAACCCCATCATCTCAGCCAAAACTCTCCTTAAGTTGATAAGCAACTTCAGCAAAGTCTCAGGATACAAAATCAATGTACAAAAATCACAAGCATTCTTATACACTAATAACCGACAAACAGACAGCCAAATCATGGGTGAACTCCCATTCACAGTTACTTCAAAGACAATAAAATACCTAGGAATCCAACTAACAAGGGATGTGAGGGACATTTTCAAAGAGAACTACAAACCACTGTTCAATGAAATAAAAGAGGATACAAGCAAATGGAAGAGCATTCCATGCTCATGGGTAGGAAGTATCAATATCGTGAAAATGACCATACTGCCCAAGGTAATTTATAGATTCAATGCCATCCCCATCAAGCTACCAATGACTTTCTTCACAGAATTGGAAAAAACTACTTTAAAGTTCATATGGAACCAAAAAAGAGCCCACATTGCCAAGGAAATCCTTAGCGAAAAGAACAAAGCTGGAGGCATCACACTACCTGACATCAAACTATACTATAAGGCTACAGTCACCAAAACAGCATAGTACTGGTACTAAAACAGAGATATAGACCAATGGAGCAGAACAGAGCCCTCAGAAATAACGCCGCATATCTACAACTATCTGATCTTTGACAAACCTGAGAAAAACAAGCAATGGGGAAAGGATTCCCCATTTAATAAATGGTGCTGGGAAAACTGCCTAGCCGTATGTAGAAAGCTGAAACTGGATCCCTTCTTTACACCTTATACAAAAATTAATTCAAGATGGATTAAAGACTTACATGTTAGGCCTAAAACCATAAAATGTTTAGAAGAAAACCTATGCAATACATTTCAGGACATAGGCAGGGGCAAGGACTTCATTTCTAAAACACCAAAAGCAATGGCAAGAAAAGCCAAAATTGACAAATGGGATCTAATTAAAGAGCTTCCACACAGCAAAAGAAACTACCATCAGAGTGAACAGGCAACCCACAACACGGGAGAAAATTTTTGCAACCTACTCATCTGGCAAATGGCTAATTTCCAGAATCTACAATGAATTCAAACAAATTTACAAGGAAAAAAAAAAAACAACCCCATCAACAAGTGGGCAAAGGATATGAACAGACACTTCTCAAAAGAAGACATTTATGCAGCCAAAAAACATACGAAAAAATGCCCATCATCACTGGCCATCAGAGAAATGCAAATCAAAACCACAATGAGATACCATCTCACACCAGTTAGAATGGTGATCATTAAAAAGTCATGAAACAACAGGTGCTGGAGAGGATGTGGAGAAATAAGAACACTCTTACACTGTCGGTGGGACTGTGAACTAGTTCAACCATTGTGGAAGTCGGTGTGGCAATTCCTCAGAGATCTAGAACTAGAAATACCATTTGACCCAGCCATCCCATTACTGGGTATACACCCAAAGGAATGTAAATCATTCTGTTATAAAGACACATGCACACGTCTGTTTATTGCGGCACCATTCACAATTTCAAAGACTTGGAACCAACCCAAATGCCCAACAATGATAGACTGGATTAAGAAAATGTGGCACATATACACCATGGAATACTATGCAGCCATAAAAAATGATGAGTTCATGTCCTTTGTAGGGACATGGATGAAGCTGGAAACCGTCATTCCCAGCAAACTATTTCAAGGATGGAAAACCAAACATTGCATGTTCTCGCTCATAGGTGGGAATTGAACAATGAGAACACATGGACACAGGAATGGGAACATCACACACCGGGGACTGTTGTGGGTTGGGGGAGGGGGTAGGGATAGCATTAGGAGATATACCTAATACTAAATGACGAGTTAATGGGTGCAGCACACCTACATGGCACATGTATACATATGTAAAAATCCTGCACGTTGTGCACATATACTCTAAAATTTAAAGTATAATAATAATAAAATTTAAAAAAATGATAATTCCTTATTCACCATTGGCCTTTTTGCACATCCTAACATTGCATTGGTGATTATACAAAAACAGTGTTTCCAAACTTCTCAGTCAAAATTATAGTTTAACTCTGTGAGATGAATGCATACATCTAAAAGCAGTTTCTCAAAAATCATTTTTCTACTTTTATTGAAGGTATTACCTTTTTCATCATAGGCATTAGTGAGCTCCCAAATATCCCTTTGCAGATTCTAGATAAACAGTGTTTTCAAACTGTTAAATGAAAAGAAAGGTTTAAATCTGTGGGAGGAATGCACACATCACAAAGCTGTCCCTCAGAAGGCTTCTTTCTTACTTTTATATGAAGGTATTTCCTTTTTCACCATAGGCCTCATACACTCCCAAATATCCCTTTGCAGATTCTACAGAAACAGCGTTTTCAAACTGATCAATCAAAAGACAGGTTTAACTCTGTGAGGCGAATTCACACATCACAAAGAAGTTTCTCAAAAAGCTTATTTCTAGTTTTTATCCAAAGATATTTCCTTTTTTACCATAGGATTCAATGCACTCCTAAATGTCCCTTCTCAGATTCAACAAAAACAGTTTTTCAAAACTGCCCAATCAAAAGAATGGTGTAACTCTTTGAGATGAATTCACACATCACAAAGAAGTTTCTCAGAAAGTTTTGATCTAGTTCTTCTCTGAAGATATTTCCTTTTACACCATAGGCCTCAATGCGTTCCTAAATATCCCTTCGCAGATTCTACACAAACAATGCTTCCAAACTGTTGCATCAAAAGAACGACAACTCTGTGAGATGAACACACACATCTGAAATCAGTTTCTCAATACACGTCTTTCCAGTTTTTATCTGAAGGTATTTCCTTGTTCACCATAAGCTTTTATGCCCTTCCTGATATCGCTTTGCCAAATTTGCAAAAACAGTGTTTCCAAACTGCTCAGTCATAAAAAAGTTTAAGTATGTGATATCAATGCACACAACCAAAAGCAGTTTCTCAAAATGATTCTTGCTGCTTTTTATCCAAAGATATTTCCTTTCTCATTATAGGCTTCAATGAGCTCCCAAATATCCTGTGGCAGATTCTACAAAAAGACTGTTTCCCAACTGCTCAATCAAAAAACTGGTTTAACTCTGTGATTTCAATGCCCACATCACAAAGCAGTTTCTCAAAAAACTTCTTCCTAGTTTTTATCCAAAGGTATTTCCTTTTTCACCGAAGGCCTCTGGACACTCTGAAATATACCTTTGCAAATTCTACAAAAACATTGTTTCCAAACTGCTCAATCGAAAGAAAGGTTTATCCCAGTGAGATGAATGCACACACCACAAAGCAATTTCTCGCACAGCTTCTGTCTTTTTCTTCTCTAAAGATATTTCCTTTTCCACCATAGGCCTCATTTCACTCCCAAATTTCCCTTTGCAGATTCTAGAAGACCTGTGTTTCCGAATTGTTCCATCAAAAGAAGGACTTAACTCTGTAAGAGAAATGCAGACATCAGAAAGCAGTTTCTCATAACGCCTCTTTCCAGTATTTATCAGAAGATATTTTCTGTTCACCATAGGCCTTTTTGCAATGCTTAACATTACTTCACAGATTATACAAAAACAGTGTTTACAAATTGCTCCGTCAAAAGAAAAGCTTAATTTTGTGAGATGAATGCATACTTCACAAAGCAGGTTCCCCAAAAGCTTCTTTCTAGTTTATATCCGAAGTTATTTCCTTTTTTACCACAGGCATCAGTGTGCTCCCAAATATCCCTTTGCAGATTCTACAAAAACAGTGTTTCCAAACAGCTCAAAAAAAAAAAAAAAAAAAGAAACATTCAACTCTTTGGAAGGAATGCACACATCACAAAGCGGTTTCTTAGAAAGTTTTTCTAGTTGTTATCTGAAGTTATTTCCTTTTTCACCATAGGCCACTTGCACTCCCAAAACTCCCTTAGCAGATTCTGCAAAAACAGTGTTTTGAAACTGTTCAATGAAGAGACATGTTTAACTCTGTGAGATATATGCACACATCACAAAGCAGTTTCTCAGATAGCTTCTGTCTAGTTCTTCAGTGAAGGTATTTCTTTTTCCACCTTATGCCTCAATGCATGCCCAAATATCCCTTCACAGATTCTACAAAACAGTATTTCCAAACTGTTCCATCAAAAGAAGGACTTAACTCTGTGAGATGAACACACCCACCAGAAAGCAGTTTCTCTTATGCCTCTTTCCAGTTTTTATCTGAAGATATTTCCTTTCTCACAATAGGCTTTTTTGCACTACCTAATATCACTTCACAGATTTTGCAAAAACAATGTTTGCAAATTTCTCTCTCAAAAGAAATGTTTAACTCTGTGAGAAGAATGTGCATATCACAAAGCAGTTTCTCAAAACATTTCTATCCAGTTTTTATCTGAAGGTATTTGCTTTTTCACCATAGGCTTTCACGTGCTCAAAAATATCCCTTCGCAGTTTCTACAAAAACAGTGTTTCCAAACTGCTCAATCAAAAGGAAAGTTGAACTCTGTGAGGTGAATGCACAAATCACAAAGCGGTTTCTCAGAAAGCATCTGTCTAATTCTTTTCTGAAGAGATTTCCTTATCCACCATAGGCCTCAATGTTCTCCCTAATATACCTCTGCAGATACTACAAACACAGTGTTTTCAAACTGCTCAATCAAACAAAGGTTTAACTCTGTGAGATGAATGCACACATCAAAAAGCACTTTCTCATAAAGATTCTGTCTAGTTCTTGTGTGAAGATATTTCCTTTTCCACCATAGGTCTAAATACACTCTCAAATATCCCTTCACGCATTCTACAAAACCGTGTTTCCAAACTTTTCCATGAAAAGTAGAACGTAACTCTGTGAGAGGAAGGCACCCATCAGGAAGCAGTTTCTCTTAACAATTCTTTCCAGTTTTTATCTGAAGATATTTACTTTTTCACCATATGCTTTTTTGCACTACATAATATCACTTCACAGATTTTGTGAAAACAGTGTTTCCAAACAGCTGAGTGAAAAGAAAATTTTAACTCTATGAGATGAATGCACACATCACAAAGCAGTTTCTCAAAGAGCTTCTTTCCAGTTTTTATCTGAAGATATTTCCTTTTTCAACATTGGCATCAGTGCTCTCCAAATTATCCTTTGCAGATTCTAGAAAAACAGTGTTTACAAAGTGCCCAATCAAAAGATATTAATAACTCAGTGAGAAGAATGCACACATCAAAAAGAAGTTTTTCAGAAAGCTTCTCTCTTGTATTTATCTGAAGTTATTTCCTCTTTCACCATAGGCCTCATGCCCTCACAAATATCCGTTTGCAGGTTCTTCAAAAACCGTGTTTCCAAACTGATAAATCAAAAGAAAGTTTTATCTCTGTGAGGTGAATGCACACATCACAGAGCAGTTTCTCAAAAAGCTTCTTTCTAGTTTGTATCTGTAGATATCTCCTTTTTCAACATAGGCTTTAATGCGCTCTCAAAAATCCCTTCACAGATACTATAAAAACAGTGTTTCCAAACTGCTAAATCAAAAGAAAGTTTTAACTCTGTGAGGTGAATGCACACATCACAAAGCAGTTTCTCAGAAAGCTTCTGTCTAGTTTTTCTCTGAATATATTTTCTTTTCCACCATTGGTCTCATTGCACTCTCAAATATCCCTTCGTGGATCCTACAAAAACAGAGTTTCCAAAGTATTCCATCAAAAGAAGGACTTAACTCTGTGAGAAAAACGCACACATGAGAAAGTAGTCTCTCATAAAGCTTCTTTCCAGTTTTTATCTCTACATATTTCCTTTTCACATAGACTTTCTTGTGCTACTTTATATCGCTTCGTAGATTTTTGAAAAACAGTGTTTCTGAACTGCTCAGTCAAAAGAAAGGTTTAACTCTGTGAGATGAACGCACACATCACAAAGTAACATCTCGAAAGGCTTCTTTCCAGTTTTCATCTGAAGATATTTCCTTTATCACCCTAGGCTTCAATACTCTCCCAAATAATCCGTGGCAGATTCTACAAAATCAGTTTCTCCAAACTGCTCAATCAAAAGACAGGTTTACCTCTCTGACTTGAACCCACACATCACAAAGCAGTTTCTCAAAAAGCTTCTTTCTAGTTTTAATCTGAAGATAATTCATTTTTCAACATAGGCTTAAGTGCACTCCCAAATATACCCTTGCAGATTCTACAAAAACAGTTTTTCAAAACTGGTCAATAAAAAGAAAGGTTTAAGTCTGTGAGTTGAATGTACACATCACAAAGCAGTTTCACAGATAGCTTCTGTCTATTTCCTCAATGAAGATATTTCTTTTTCCATCACAGACCTCTATGCTCTCTGAAATATCCTTTCACTGATTCCATAAAAACAGTGTCTCCTAACTGTCCCTTCAAAGAAGGATTTAACTCTGTGAGATGCATGCACTCATCAGAAAACAGTTTTTCATAACTCATCTTTCCAGTTTTTATCTGAAGATATTTCCTGCTTCACCATAGGCCTTTCAGTGCTACCTAACATCTTTTCGCAGATTATACAGAAACGTGTTTCCAAACTACTCAGTCAAAAGCAAAGTTTAACTCTGTGAGATGAATGCATACATCACATAGCAATTCCTCAAAGAGCTTCTTTCTAGTTTTTATCTGAAGATAATTCCTTTTCACAATTGGCCTATCTGTGCTTTCAAGTATCCCATTGCAGATTCTATAAAAATAGTGTTTCCAAACTGCTCAATCCAAAGAAATATTTAAATCTGTGAGAGAATTCACAATTCACGAAGCAGATTCTCAGAAAGCTTCTTTGTAATTTTTATCTGAATTCACTTCCTTTTTCACCATAGGCCTCAAAGTGCTCCCAAATTTTCCCTTTCAGATTCTATGAAAACAGTTTTTCCAAACTGATCAATCAAAAGAAAGGTTTAACTCTGTCACACAAATGCACACATCACAAAGTAGTTTCTCAGAAAGCTTCTTTCCAGTTTTTAACTTGAGATATTACCTTTTTCACCATAGGCCTCAATGAGCTCCCAAATAACCCTTCGCAGATTCTGCCAAAATGTTTTACCAAATGGCTCCAGCAAAACAATGATTTAACCCTTCAAAATGTGTGCAGACATCACAAATCAGTGTTTCAGAAAGATTCTTTCCAATTTTTATTTAAAGATATTTCCTTTTCCACTATAGGCCTCTTTGCACTACATAATATCACTTTGCAGATTATACATAAACCGTGTTTCCAAACTGCTCTATCAAACAAAGGTTTAACTCTGTGAGATGAATGCACACATCAGAAAGCAGTTCCTCAAAAATCTCCTTTCTAATTTTTAAATGAAGGTAATTCCTTTTTCACAATAGCCATCTATGCACCCCCAAATATCCCTTCACAGATCCCACAAAAACAGTGTTTCCAAACAGCTAAAACAAAAAACAGGTTTAACTCTGTGAGTTGAATGCACACGTTTCAAAGCAGTTTCTCAAAAAGCTTCTTTCTAGTGTTTATCTGAAGGTACTTCCTTTATCACCCTAGGCCTCAATGCACTCCCAAATATCCCTTTACAAACTCTAAACCAGTGTTTCCACACTGCTGAATCAAAAGAAAGGCTTAACTCTGTGAGATGACTGCACATATCACAAAGCAGTTTCTCAGAAAGCTTCTGTCTAGTTCTTCAATGAGGATATTTCCTTTTCTACCTTAGTCCTCAATGCACTCCCAAATATCCCATGGCAGATTCTTCAAAATAGTGTTTCCAAACTCTTCCATCAAAAGAAGCATTTAACTCTGTTAGATGAACACACACATCAGAAAGCAGTTTCCCATAATGCTTCTTTCCTGTTTTTATATGATACTATTTCCTTTTTCACCATAGGCTTTTTGTAATACTTAATATCACTTTTTAGATTATGCAAAAAGTGTTCCCAAACAGCTCAGTGAAAGGAAACGTTTAACTCTGTGAGATGAACGGACACATCACAAATCAGTTTCTCAATCTGTTTCTATCTACTTTTTATCCAAAAATACTTCCTTTTTTTTACCATAGGCCTAAATTTGCTATCAAATATCCCATTGCAGATTTTACAAAAATAGTGTGTCCAAACTGCTCAACCAAAAGAAATGTTTAAATGCCTGAGAAGAATGCACACAACACAAAATGGTTTCTCAGAAAGCCTCTTTGTAGTTTTTAACCAAAGTTTTTTCCTTTTTCACCATTGGCCACCGTGAGCTCCCAAATATCCCTTCACAGATTCTACCAAAACAGTGATTCCAAACTGCTCAATGAAAAGAAGGGTTTCACTCGGTCAGATGAATGCACACCTCAGAAAGCTATTTCTCAGAAAGCTTCTTTCTGGTTTTTATCTGGAGATATTTCCTTTTTCACAGTAGACCTCAATGCACTCCCAAATAACTCTTCACACATTCTGCCAACAGGGCGTTTCTGAAAGGCTTCATCAAAGGAAAGATTTAACACTCTGAAATGAATGCACACATCACAAATCATTTTCTCAGAAGCTTCCTTCCAGTTTTTATCTGAAGATATTTCCTTTTTCAGTATAGGCCTCTTTGTGCTACCTAATGTCACTTCGTAGGTTATACAAAAACAGTGTTTCCAAGCTACTCTATAAAAAGAAAGGTTTAACTCTGTGAGATGATTGCACATATCACAAAGCAGTTTCTCAAAAAGCTTCTTTTTAGTTTTTAATCTGACGTTATTTCCTTTTTCACCATAGACCTCGTGCACTCCCAAATATCCCTTTGCAGATTCTACAAAAAGTGTTTCCAAAATGATCAATCAAAAAAGGTTTAACTCTGTGAGATGAATGCACACATCACGAAGCATTTTCTCAGAAAGCTTCTGTCTAGTTCTTCTTTGAAGACTTTTGTTTTCCTCCATAGGCCTCTTTGCGCTCCCAAATATCCCTTTGCATATTCTAAAAAGAACAGTATTTACAAACTCTTCCATCAAAAAAAGCACTTAACACTGTGAGATTAACTTACACATCAGAAAACAGTATCTCACAACGTATCTTTCCAATTTTTATCTGTAGATATTCCCCGTTCTACATAGCCTTTTTTGTGCTACATAATGTCACTTTGCAGACTTTTCAAAAACAGTGTTTACAAACTGCTCATTCAAAAGAAAGGGTTAACTCTATGAGATGAATGCACAAATCACAAAGCAGTTTCTCAAAAGGCTTCTTTCTAATTTTTGTCCGAACATATTTCCTTTATCACCATAGGTCTCAATGGGCTCCCAAATATCCCCTTGCAGAATCTACAAAAACAGGGTTTCCAAACTGCTCTATCAAAACAACGGTTTAACTCTGTGAGATGAATGCACACGTCACAAATCAGTTTCTCAGAAAGCTTCTGTCTAGTTCTCCTCAGACTATATTTCTTTTTCCACCTTAGGCCTCTATGAGCTCCCAAAAATCCCTTCACAGATTCTATAAAAACAATGTTTCCAAACTGTTAGACCAAAAGAAGAACTTAACTCTGAGATGAACGCACACATCTGAAGGCAGTTTCTCATAACGCTTGTTTCCATTTTTTATCCAAAGATATTTCTTTATCACCATAGTCTTCAGTGGGCTCACAAATATCCCACTGCAGATTCTACAAAAACAGTGTTTCCAAACTGTTGATACAAAAAACAAGTTTAACTCTGTGAGTTGAATACGCACATCACAAAGAAGTTTCTCAAAAAAGCTGTCTTCTACTCTTTATCTGGAGATATTTCCTTTTTCACCATAGGCATCAGTGTGATCCCAAAAATAACTTGGAAGATTCTATAGAAACAGTGTTTCCAAACTGCTCAATCAACACAAAGGTTAAATTCTGTGAGCTGAAGCCCCACTTCTCAAAACAGTTTCTCAGATAGCTTCTCTATAGTTCTTCTCTGAAGGTATTTCCTTTTCTACCATAGTCCTAAATTCAATCCCAAATATCACTTTGCAGATTCTATAAAAACAGTGTTTCCAAAATGTTCCATCAAAAGAAGGATTTACATCTGTGAGATGATTGCACACATCAAAAAGCAGTTTCTCATAACACGTCTTTCCAGTTTTTATCTGAAGATATTTCCTTGTTCAAAATAGGCCTTTTTTGCTACATAACATTGCTTCAAAGATTATACAAAAACAGTGTTTCCAAACTCCTCAGTCAAAAGAAAAGTTTAACACTGGGAGATGAATGCATAGATTGCCAAGCTTTTTCTCAAAAAGGTTCTTTCTAGTTTTTATCCAAAGAAATTTCCTTTTTCACCATAGGCATCAGTGTGCTCCCAAATATCCCATTGCAGTGTCCACAAAAACAGTATTTGCAAACTGCTCAATCAAAAGAAACGTTTAACACTGTGAAAAGAATGCACCCATCACAAAGCAGTTTCTCAGAAAGCTTCTTTCTAGTTTTTATCTGAAGTTATTTCGTTTTTCACCATGGGTGTCGTGTGTTCCCAAATATCCCTTCGCAGATTCTATAAAAACAGTGTTTCTGAACACTTTCATAAAAAGAAGGATTTAACTCTTTGAGACTAATATATGCATCACAAAGCAGTTTATCAAAAGGCTTCTTTCTAGTTTTTATCTGAAGATATTTCATGTATCACCACAGGCAAATTGTGCTCCCAAATATCCTTTCACAGATTCTACAAAAACAGTGTTTCCAAACTGCTAATTAAACAGAAAGCTTTAACTCTGTGAGATGAATGTACACAGGACAAAGCGGTTTCTCCAAAGACTCTTTCTAGTTTTGATCTAAAGTTGTTTCCTTTTTCACTATAGGCTTCAATGCACTCTGAAATATTCCTTCACAGATTCTTCAAAAACAGTGTTTCCGAACTGCTCAGTCAAAAGAAAGGTTTATCTCATTTAGACGAGTGCACACATCACAAAGCACTTTCTCAGAAAGATTCTTTCTAGCTTTTATTCTAAGATATTTCCTTTATCACCACAGGCTTCAATGTTCTCCCAAATACCCCACTGCAGATCCTACGAAAACATTGTTTCCAAACTGCTCAAACAAAAATTAAAAAAACATGTTTAAATCTCCAAATTTCAATTTGGCACACATCACAAAGCCGTTTCTCCAAAAGATTCCTTCTAGTTTTTATCTAAAGATATTTACTTTTTCACCATAAGCCTCAATGCTCTCCCAAATATATGTTTGCAGATTTGACAAAAACAGTGTTTCAAAAACTGCTTGAAGGGAAGGTTTAACTCTGTGAGGTGAATGCGCACATCACAAAGCAGTTTCTCAGATAGCTTCTCTCTAGATCTTCTCTGAAGACATTTCCTTTTCCACCATAAGCCTCAAAGTGCTCCCAAATATCCCTTTGCAGATTCTGTAAAAACTGTGTTTCTGAGCTCTTCCACCAAAAGGATGATTTAATTCTGTGGGATGAAAGCACAAATCAGAAAGCAGTTTCTCATAACCCTTCTTCCATTTTTTATCTGAAGGTAATTCCTTGTTCATCACAGGCCTTTTTGTATGAGTTAATATCGCTTCACAGACTGTACAAAAACAGTGTTTCCAAACTCCTCAGTCAAAAGAAAAGCTTAATTCTGAGAGTTGAATGCATACATTACAAAGGAGTTGCACAAAAACTTCTTTGTGAACCATTGGCATCAGTTCACTCCCAATATCCCTTTGCAGATTCCAGCAAAACTGTGTTTCCAAACTGCTCAGTCAAAATAAAAGTTTAACCCTGTGAAACGAATGCACACTTCACAAAACAGTTTCTCAAAAAGCTTCTTTCTATTTTTTTCAAAGTTATTTCCTTTTTCACCATAGGCATCAGTGCGCTCTCAAATATCCCTTTGCAGATTCTAGAAAAACTGTGTTTCAAAACTGCTCACACAAAAGAAATACTTAACTCTGTTAGAAAAATGCACACCTCACAAAGCGGTTGCTCAGAAAGCTTCTTTCTAGTTTTTATCTGAAGTTATTTCCTTTTACACGATATGCCTCATGCACTACCAAATATCCCTTTGCAGATTCTACAAAAACGGTGTTTCCAAACTTATCCACCAAAAGAAAGGTGTAACTCTGTGAGATGAATGCACACGTCACAAAGCAGCTTCTCAAAAAGCGTCTTTCTAGTTTTTGTATGAAGATATTTCCTTTTTCACCATAGGCTTCAATTTGCTCCCAAATATTTCTTCGCAGATTCTACAAAAACAGTGTTTCCAAACTGCTCAATCAAAAGAAAGGTTTCACTGTGTGAGATGAATGCACACATCACCAAGCAGTTTTGCAGAAACCTTCTGTTTAGTTCTTCTCTGAAGATATTTCCTTTCCACCATAGGCCTGAATACACTCCCAAATATCGCTTCGCAGATTGTACAAAAACAGTGCTTCCAAACTGTTCCATCAAAAGAAGGACTTAACTCTGTGAGATGAACGCACACATCAGAAAGCAGTTTCTCATAACACTTCTTTCCAGTTTTGAATTCAAGACATCTTGGTTTCACCATAGCCCTTTTTACACTCCATATATCGCTTGGCAGATTCTGCAAAAACAGTGTTTCCAAACTGCTCAGTCAAAGGAAAATTTTAACTCTGTGAGATGAAGGCACACATCAAAGCAACTTCTCTAAAAGCTTCTTTCTAGTTTTTATCCAAAAATATTTCCTTTACCATCATAGGTTTCAATGTGTACTGAAATATCCCATTGCAGATTCCACAAAAACAGTGTTTTCAAACTGCCCAATCAAAAAAAAGGCTTAATTTTGTGAGATGAATGCACACATCACAAAGCAGTTTCTCAAAATGCTTCTTTCTAGTTTTTATCCAAAGATATTTCCTTTTTCAAGAAAGGCCTAAGTGCACTCCCAAATATCCCTTTGCAGATTCTACAAAAACAGTGTTTCCAAACTGCTCAATCAAAAGAAACTTTTAAAACTGTGATGAGAATACACAGATCACAAAACAGTTTTGCAGAAAACTTCCTTGTAGTTTTTATCTGAAGTTATTTCCTTTTTCACCATAGGCCTCATGCACTCCCAAATATTCCTTTGCAGATTCTACAAAAACAGTGTTTCAAAACTTATCAACCAAAAGAAAGGTGTAACTCTGTGAGATGAATACACACATCACAAAACAGTTTATCAGAAATCTCCTGTCTAGTTCTTTTCTGAAGACATATCCTTTTCAACCATAGGTTGAACCATGGGTTCGCAAATATCCCTTCACAGATTCTACAAAAACAGTGTTTCCTAACCATTCCATCAAAAGTAGGATTAAATTCTGGGAGATGAACACACACATTAGGAAGCAGTTTCTCATAACCCTTCTTTCCAGTTTTTATCTGAAGATATTTTCTTTTTCACCATAGGCTTTTTTGCACTACCAAATATCGCTTCTCAGATTTTGGAAAAACAGTGTCTCCAAACTGTTCAGTCAAAAGTAAGGTTTAAATCTATGAGATGAACGCATACAACAGAAAGCAGTTTCCCAAAAAGCTTCTTTCTAGTGTTTATCTAAAGCTACTTCCTTTTTCACTGTAGGCCTCTGTGAGCTCCCAAATATGACTTTGCAGATTCTACAAAAACAGTGTTTCCAAACTGCTCAGTCAAAAGAAAGGTTTAACTCTGTGACATGAATGCACACAGCTAAAAGCAATTTATCAGATGCCTTATGTTTTGTTCTCCTCCGAAGATATTTGCTTTTAAACCCTAGGCCTTAATGCCCACCCAAATATCTCTTTGCAGATGCTATGAAAACAGTGTTCCTGACCTTTTCCATCAAAAGAAGGAACTATCTCTGTGAGATGAAAGCACACATCAGAAAGCAGTTTCTCATAATGCTTCTTTCCAGTTTTTATCTGAAGTTATCTCCTTATTGTCCATAGGTATTTTTGTGCTACTTAACAATGCTTTGCAGATTATACAAAAACAGTGTTTTCAAACTGCTCAGAAAAAGAAATGTTAAACTCTGAGATAAATGCATACAGCACAAACATGTTTTCTCAAAAAGCTTCTTTCTAGTTTTTATCTGAAGATATTTCCATTTCACCATAGGCTTCAGTGCACTCCCAAATATCCCTTTGCAGATTCCACAAAAAAAACAGTAAGTCCAAACTGCCGCATCAAAAAACATCTTTAACTCTGTGAGAGGAATGCACACATCACAAAGCAGTTTCTCAAAATACTTCTTTGTAGTTTTTATCCTAAGATATTTTCTTTATCACCATAGGTTTCAATGTGCTCCCAAATATCCCATCGCAGATTCTACAACAACAGTGTTTCCAAACTCCTCAATCAAAAAACACGTTTACTCTGTGACTTTAATGCACACATCACAAAGCAGTTTTTCAGAAAGCTTCTTTCTAGTTTTTATTTGAAGATATTTTTTTCAACATAGGCCTCAGGGTGCGCCCAAATATACCTTGACAGATACTACAAACACAGTGTTTCCATACAGCTCAATCAAAAGAAAGGTTTAACTCTTTGAGATGAATGCATACGTAACATAGCAGTTTCTCAGATACTTTCTATCTAGTTCTTCTCTGAAGATATTTCCTTTTCCACCATAGGCCTCAATGTGCTCCCAATTATCCCTTCACAGATTCTTCAAAAACAGTGTTTCAAAACTGCTCAATCAAAAAACAGGTTTAAATCTGTGAGCTGAGTGCACCCATCACAGAGAAGTTTCTCAAAAACGTCTTTCTAGTTTTTATCTGAAGGTGTTTCCTTTTTCACTGTAGGCTTCAGTTTGCCCCCAAACATACCTTTGCAGACTCTATAAAAACAGCGTTTCAAAATGCTCAAACAAAAGAAAGGTTTAACTCTGTGAGATGAATGCATACATCACAAAGAAGTTTATCAGAAAGCTTCTATCTAGTTCTTCAATGAAGATATTTTCTTTTCCATCTTAGGCCTCAATGCACCCCCAAATATCCCTTCGCAGGTTCTACAAAAACAGTGTTTCCAAACTGTTCCATCAAAAGAAAGACCTCAATCTGTGAGGTGAACGGACATATCAGAAAGCAGTTTCTCATAACACTACTTTCCACTTTTTATCTGAAGATATTTCCTTTTTCACCATAGGCTTTTTTTGCACTATGAAATATCGCTAAGCAGTTAATAAAAAGACAGTGTTTCCAAACTGCTCAGTCAAAAGAAAGGTTTAACTCTGTGAGATGAATGGACACATCACAAAACATTTTCTCAAAAAGCTTCTTTCTAGTTTTTATCCAAATATATTTCATTTTCTACCATAGGCCTAACGGTGCTTTCAAATATCTCTTTGCAGATTCTATAAAGATCTTGTATCCAAACAGCCCAATCAAAAGAAATGTTTAAATGTGTGTGAAGAATGCACACATCACAAAGTTGTTTCTCCAAAAACTTCTTTGTAGTTTTTATCCGAAGTAATTTCCTTTTTAACCATAGGCCTCAGTGCACTCCCAAATATCCCTTTGCAGATTCTACCAAAACAGGATTTCCAAACTGCTCAATCAAGGAAAGTTTTCACTCTGTAAGATGAATGCACATATCAGGAAGCAGTTTCTCAGAAACCTTCTTTTTGGTATTTATCTGGAGATATTTCCCTTTTCTCCATATGATTCAATGTGCTCCCAAATAATTATTTGCAGATTCGGTTAAAGGATGTTTCCAAAAGACTCCATCGAAGGAAAGATTTAACACTGTGAAATGAATGCACACACCATGTGTCAGTGTCTCAGAAAGCTTCTTTTCAGTTTTTATCTGAAGATATTTCCTTTATCACCATAGACCTCTTAGCACTACCTAATATCACTTCCCAGGTTATACAAAAGCAGCGTTTCCAAACTATTCTATCAAAAGAAAGGCTTAATTCTATGAGATGAATGCACACATCACAAAACAGTTTCTCAAAATGCTTCCTTCCAGTTTTTATCGAAAGAAATTTCTTTTTCACCGTAGGCTTCAATGTGTTCCCAAATATCCCTTCGCAGATTCTACAAAAAAAAAAGGGTTTACAAACTGCTCAGTCAAAAGAAACATTTAAATCTGTAAGATGAATGCACACATCACAAAGCAGTTTCTCAGAAAGCTTCTATATAATTCTTCTCTGAAGATATTTCCTTTTCCACAATACACCTCAATGTGCTCCCAAATATCCCTTTGCAGATTCTACAAAAAAAACTGCTTCCAAACTGTTCCATCAAAAGAAGGACTTAACCCTGAGAGATGAACACACACATCAGAAAGCAGTTTCTCATAACGCTTCTGTCCATGTTTTTATCTGAAGACGTTCCCTATATCAACACAGGCATTTTTGCGCTAACAAATATTGCATCACAGATATACAAAAACGGTGTTTCCAAACTGCTCACTCAAAAGAAAACTTTAATTCTGTGAGATGAATGCACACATCACAAAGTAGTTACTCAAAAAACTTCTTTCTAGTTTACATCCAAAGGTATTTCCTTTTTCACCATAGTCCAAACTTCACTTTCAAATATCACATTGCAGATCCTACAAAAATGGTGTTTCCAAACTGCTCAGTCAAAAAGCAGGTTTACCTCTGTGAGTTGAACACAAACGTCACAAATCAATTTCTCAAAAGTTTTTTCTAGTTTTTTTGAAGATATTTCTTTTTTTCACCATAGGCATCAATACAGTCCCAAATTTCCCTTTGGAGATTCTACAAAAACAGTGTTTCCATACTGCTCTATCAAAAGAAACGTTTAACACTGCGAGAAGAATGAACACATCACAAAGCAGTTTCTCAGAAAGCTTCTTTCTTGTTTTTATCTGAAGTTATTTCCTTTTTCACCATAGGCCTCATGCTCTCCCAATTCTCCCTTAGCAGATTCTACAAAAACAGTGTTTCCAAAGTGCTCAATCAAACAACAGGATTAACTCTGTGAGATGAATGCACCCATAACAAAGCAGTTTCCCAAAAACGTCTTTCTAATTTTTATCTGAAGATATTTTATTTATCACCATAGGCCTCAGTGAGCTCCCAAATATGCCTTCGCAGATTCTACAGAAACAGTGTTTCCAAACTGTTGAATGAAAAGGAAAGTTTAACTCTGCGAGACGAACGCACACATCACAAAGCAGTTTCTCAGATAGTTTCTGTCTAGTTCTTCTCTGAAGATATTTCCTTTGCCACAGTAGGACTCAATGCACTCCCAAATATCCCTTCACAGATTCTTTAAAAACAGTGTTTCTGAACTATTGCATCAAAATAAGGATTTAACTCTTTGATATTGATGCACACATGAGAAAGCAATTTCTCCTAACGCTTCTTTCCAGTTTTTATCTGAAGATATTTTGTTGTTCACCATAGGCCTTTTTGTGCTACCAAACATGGCTTCGCAGATTCTATGAAAACAGTGTTTCCAAACTGTTCCATCAAAAGAAGGATTTAAAACTCTGAGATGAATGCACTCTTCATAAAGCAGTTTCTGTTAATACTTCTTTACAGTTTTTATCTGGAGGTGTGTGTTTTTTGCCATAGGCCTTTTTGCACTAACATCACTTCATAGATTATACAAAAACAGTGTTTCCAAACTGCTCATTCAAAAGAAAATCTTAACTCTGTGAGGTGAATGCATACATCACCAAGCAGTTTCTCAAAATTATTCTTTCTGGTGTTTATCCAAAAATATATCCTTTTTGACTGTAGGCATCAGTATGAACTCAAATATCCCTTGAAATCCCTTCAAAAACAGTGTTTCCAAACTGATCAATCAAAGAAATGTTTAACTCTTTGAGATGAATGCAAATATCACAAAGCAGTTTCTCAGAACAATTCTGTCTAGTTCTTCTCTGGAGGTATTTCCTTTTCCACTATAGACATCAATGTGCTCCTAAATAACCCTTTGAAGATTCTGCAAAAACAGTGTTTCCAAACTGTCCCACCCAAAGAATGACTTAACAATGGGAGATGAATGCACACATCAAAAGGCCATTTCTCATAATGCTTCTTTCCAGTTTTTATCTGAAGATATTTCCTTGTTTACCACAGGCTTTTTTGTGCTACCTAATATGGCTTCACAAATTTTGCCATAACAGTGTTTCCAAACTGATCCATCAAAATAAAGTTTTAACTATGTGGATGAATGCACAAACCACAAAGCAGTTTCTCAGAAAGATTCTTCATAGTTTTTATACAAAGTTATTTCCTTTTTCACCATAGGACTC